>NW_021160008.1:0-192531 GCF_000001405.40 Homo sapiens | reverse complement strand
CATTTCTTCCTCTAGGCCAGTGGGCAGAACCCCAGGTGCAGCCAGAAGAAGAAAGAGCTGTTGTTTCCTATGAATGGAAATCAGAAACCAGTATTTAAGGGTTTAATCCAAATTAATGATCTGCATTTCAGGGCCCCAGATGGTGTAGGTTGGATTACCCCATATATTGCTTCAGACTTTACCCTGTCAGTAAGTGGGGGGTGATGGGCTTGTCACATTTCTTATTTATTCAGCTGGATGAACAGATCATGAGAAATGGGGAAAGTCTATACTGGAACAATTAAATGTTTTTAGAGCCATGTCATTATCTTCCCTCACGCCATTGGAATATAAACTCTATAAAAAGGGAGATTTTTGTCTGTTCTGTTCACTATTCTATTTTTTGCACTTTGGACAATGCCTGGAACATAGTAGCTTTTTTATTTGTTAAATAAATTAATATATTTCTCCCAGAGCAACATCAACATGTGTGGGCTCTTCTTTAGGGACCTTCCTTTTGCCCTTGCTTGGCCCACATATGCATCTTTCTCCAAGGGAGGTATTTGTGGTCTGGATGTGGCTATTCTGGAGTTTCTCATTCATTAATTACCTTGTCAGATTGAACAACTGACATCCTTTGTACTGAAGAAATATCTACAGGAATGTTTTCTGCTGATGGACTTAGAGTTTTCCACTTTTAATAGATTTATTAGCAACAAAATAAAGCACATACACAACACACACACACACTTTTGGGCATGTGTGATGCATAAGTAGAGCTGGTAATTTGTCATCTCTAGACAAACTCAGAGAGGAAGGATGCAGTTTGTATCAGTCAGGATGAACTACGCTATGCTACATAATAAAGAATCCCCCAAATCTCCGTGGTCTATAACATCACAATCTTTTGCTCTCACTACTTGTTCAGCATGGGTTGGCTGAGAGATCTTCTGTGACCTGGCTGATAGAACAACCATTATCTGAAGGATCGCCCATCATAAGTGTGGGAAAGGAAGCAATTATGTGCTCCAGCCTAGACATGGTATACATCATTCCAGCTCATAATTCATTGGCCAGAGCTTGTCACAAGGCCCAAGTGGAAATTGTAGTACTATCTGGGGGGTTGATATGCTTTGGATCTGTGTCCCCACCAAATCTCATGTTGAATTATAATTCTCAGTGTTGGAAATGGGGCCTGGTGGGAGGTGATTGGATCATGGGGGCAGATTGGATCATGGGTGCTGATAGCCAGTGAGTTATCATGAGATCTGGTTATTTAAAAGTGTGTAAAGTATGTAGCACCTTCTCCCATCTCTCTTCCTCCTGCTCCGGCTATGTGAAGTGCTGGCTGCCCCTTTGCCTTCTGTCATGATTGTAAGTTTCCTGAGGTCCCCCAGGCAGCAGAAGCTGCTATGCTTCCTGTACAGCCTGCAGAACCATGAGCCAATTAAACCTCTTTTCTGTATAAATTACCCAGTTACCCAGTCTCAGATATTTATTTTTCTTTCTTTTTTTTCAGGTATTTCTTTATAACAATAAGAGAATGGACTAATACAGGGGTGGATAGCTGGGTAATAACTACCACAGTTGTTTTACCACAGTGTTCTAGATTGATTTTATTTCTGGAAGTTTCTTTCTTTCTCTTTCTTTCTTTCTTTCTTTCAACTTTGTTTCTTTCCTCCTTTTTTTCTTTGCCAATCTCTGGGAAATCATTTTTTCTCTGAGACAGTTTTTCACACTATTGCCCAGGCTGGAGTGTAATGGTGCCATTGTGGTTCACTGCAGCCTCAACCTCCAGAGCTCAGGTGATCCTCTCACACCGGCCTCCTGAGTGTCTGGGACTAAGGACATGTGCCTCCATGGCCGGCTGGTGGTAGTTTTTCATAACAGAACCCAAGAGCACTTTCCTAGAGAGCAGTAGTTTAAATATTAGACTGGCCATTTTGTAACCTCAGCAAACTAGGTCTTACAGCAGCAATGATCATAGACTTCGAATCAGAGAGACGCACCTCTGCTACTTAATAGTTGTGTGGCATTACATAAGACACTAAATCTCTCCAAGATGAGTACTGTCATCTCTAAATTGGGTCTTACTCACAGATAAGATGAAATTGTTATGAAGATACTAGACCATCTAGTGAATTGCTTAGTATACAATATCTGGTACATATTACCAATTCAATACATGTTAGTTAGCTTGGAAGATAGAAAGTCTTACATTTTATTAGTTGGTGTTTCTTGAGCCAAGTTTTCTTGGCAGGTAAAGCTTTTATGTTCTCAGGAGGTCTGGCAATTAAGATTGCTCAAATTTCTCTGTGGGGGAATGTTATTTGAAATGATTCTTCTGTTTACCAGGTTCAACTTACATTAATTCTCTGCTTCCACACACAGTCTTTCACCTATATTCTCTTTACTACAGAATATCTGGAAGTCTCTTCTTTTTAAAAAATTTTCTGAAATATATATATGTGTATATTTGTGTGTATATATACCTCTTTTCTGTATAAAGTACCCAGTTACCCAGTCTCAGGTATTTATTTTTCTTTCTTTTTTTTCAGGTATTTCTTTTTTTTTTTTTTTTTTTTTTTTTTTTGAGACAGAGTCTCGCTCTGTTGCCCAGGCTGGAGTGCAGTGGCAGAATCTCAGCTCACTGCAACCTCCACCTCCCCGGTTCAAGCAATTTTCATTCCTCAGCCTCCTGAATAGCTGGGATTGCAGGTGCGCCCCATCATGCCTGGCTAATTTTTATATTTTTAGTAGAGATAGGGTTCCACCATGTTGGCCAGACTGGTCTCGAACTCCTGGCCTCAAGTGATGTGCCTGCCATGACCTCCCAAAGTGCTAGAAGTCTCAATATTAGTCTCAACCTTGGATATCCATCAGAATCCCCAGGGCATTTTTCAAAAGATCTATGCCTGAGCCCCACCTCAGACCAATTAAATCAGTTTCTCTGGGAGTGGGGACCCAGTCATCCATATTTTTAAAGCTCCTCTGGGGATTCTGGTGAGCAGCGAGGACTGAGAACTGCTGCTCTACATGTCTGGTTTTTGCCCATGTCTCTAGCCTCATCTCCTGCCACTGTCCTCCCTGTGCTCATCACGCTTTTTTTTTTGCTGTTCATTGAACATGCCAAGGTGGCTCCTACTCCAGAACCTTGACATTCACTGTTCCCTCAGCCTAAGTGTGTTGCTTCAGATTTCCATATAACTGATTCTTGTTCATGAGGTCTCAACTCAAATGTCATGTCTTCAGAATTTCACTCCACTACCCATTCTAAAGTAGCACTCCTCATCTGGTTTTACTTGAGCTATTTGCTGATTAATCTGCTATTTTCCTGCCTGTCTTCTCATTAGAACGTAGACTCCAAAAAAGTAGAGCTCTTGTCTGATTTATTCACTATTATATGTCCAGGGTTTAGAGCACTATCTGGCACATAGTAGATACTCAATAAATATTTGTTGAATAAATTATTCTTGTCTGCCATAAACTAATATAATTACAAAATGTTGTTTTAATGATCAATTCTTACGATATATTTACAAAACAATCATTTCCTTAGAAGCGAGCCTTGCAGTTTCTATTTTCTCATGCCCCTTTACATAGTTTATATTGTTTAACTATTTGTTATAGGGAGAAAAAAGAGATAACGCTATAGATAAATACCCATTTTTATTACGATTATTGTACCTACAGCCTTTGCTCTATCCTGTTTTCCTGTCCATTTTATTCTTTTCTCTCAGTGGTTACCATCATTCTGAAGGTTTCTTGGGTTTGAAGGCATTGATGTTTCTTTTCCTTAAATTTCTCTCTCTAGTGATCATTAAGAAAGACTAGGGGACTTGAGTGAAATGTCTGGGTTTGAATTCTGACCCTGCAAATTTCCAAGGGCAGGTCATTTAACCTCTTTGAACCTCAGTTTCCTCATTAATGAAGTGAGGACACTAATAGTTTCTCAAAAAACTATTTTTTGAGTTCCTGTCTCAAAAAACTGTCATAAAAGAAAGTGAGAAAATATAGGTAAAATTACCTCCTCCTTGCAGAAGCCATCAGCAACAACTTCCTCAACTTGGAGTCTTTCCCTTTCACTCATTTTTTCTCTTCTACATCCCACCTTCCCTGCGTCCAGGGTCAGGAGGAGGGTGTTCTGGATCCCTCCTCTTTGTCTCTACAGTGGCCTCACCCATTTTTCCTTCTCTTTTCTCTTCCAGCTTCTCTGTTACTGACCCTTTCTCACAAGCAGTCAAACACGCTGACATTGTTCCTCTATTTTAAAAGCCAATACCTCACTCTTGGTCTCCTGTTGCTTATATTAATATTTCTCTCCAGATAAAGTTTTTTGTTGTTGTTGTTGTTTTTGTTTGTTTGTTTGTTTGAGATAGGGTCTTTCTCTGTCACCTAGGCTGGAGTGCAGTAGCCCGATCACAGCTCACTTTAGCATTAAACTCCGGAGCTCAAACAATCCTACTGCCTTGGCCTCCAGAGTAGCTGGAACACAGGTGCGTGTCACCATGCCTGGCTAATTTTTTATTTTTTGTAAAGATGATGTATCGCTATGTTGCCCATGCTGGCAGGTTAAGTTCTCAACAGAAAAGTTCACTTTAATTGAGGCTTTTACAGACTTTTCTTCTAGACACCCCTCCACATACTACATTGGCCTCCTGCCCCAACTTCTCTCCTGAAGCTGCCTTTGCCATAATCATAGGGACCCTCTGGGTGCCACATTCAGTTGTTCATTATACATATTGATCTCTTAACAGCATTTGAAACTACTAACCATTCCTTCTTATAACTTTCTCTTTCCTTGGTTTTTATCATATCATTCTCTTCTGCCATTCCTTTTACCTGTCTAACTGTTCCTGCTTCATCTCTTTCTTGGACTCTTCTTCTTAAATATTGGCATTGCAAGGGCTTCACCTTTAGCCTGCTGTTCTTCTGGAACTATATTCTGTGCCTGAGTGACCTCATTCATGTTCATAAATTCAATCACCATTTATACACTGAAGATTTCCCAAGTTCATCTCTCATTTAAACAACTCTTTTGAGAATTAAACCCATTTCTCCAACTATTTCCTGGTATTTCCTGGACATCTTCACCCAAATGTTCAATGAGCGCCTCAAAAAATCAAGAACATAACAATTCTTGAACATATTCCCCTGTTCCCAGAATATAAGTTCAGGAAAATAGGAACTCTTACCAATATTTTTTATTGCTATATCCCTAGAGCTTATAATATTGTCAGACACATATTAAGTGCTCAGTTAATATTGGTTAAATGAATGGAAATTTTCCCCACCAACCTGTTCTTCCCTCTGTATAGCATTAATATTTGCTCAATTATAGCAACATGGTTTCTTGTCATCTCTTTTTTCCTTAATCCTTATATCCCATTGGTTTTCTATGTTCTGTGTATTCAACCTGCTCAATCTAAAGTCCATTTCTTCTCCTACATTCTCACTGATATTTTTCAGGCATTTATAATCTCTCCTTTTGTATCCTCACTGTTCTTATTCATATGATGGGGATAATAATAGGACTTTTCTCATAGGACAGTCATAAGCTTCAGTGAAGTAATATACCCAAACTCTTAGTATGGTGCTGGGATGACTCAGTAAATTTGGCGAGACAGCTGTATTTCTTATGTATCTATATGGATCTCTACAAATACATCTACATGTAGTAAGAGGACAGTCTAGTTAACCTCCATATTTTAGTGTAAGTCCTAACCCAGGAGAGAATGTATTGAACAGATAAATAAATTTGCTTTGTAATGTCAATCAAGTCATGTCCTTGTTGGCCTTCAGATTATTCATTTATTAATTCAGTTAACTAGACTAGCTAGGATCATTTTATAGCATTTTCATATTACAAAGCACGTTCATAGCCATTAACTCATCTTATTTCCATGGCTATTATTCATCTTATTTCCATAGCATTTATTATCATTAGCACCCCAATTTTCAGGTGAAATAACTGAGGCTTAGGATATTAGTTGTCCATAACCCGTCCACTACTTGTTAAAAGCAGAATCAGGATTTGAACCCAGTCTTCTAATGCTAAGTCCTATTGTTCTAAATATTCAGGTGAAAATATATGCATTTTATTTTCGTGTTTCAGGAAGTTGTTTGTGGTCTCTTATTGCACTGTTTTTTCTTGAGTCAGTTGGTGTTGAAGGATGGAACTTAGTGGTAGAAGCCACTCTAGAGCCCTAGTTCCTTTAGCTTACAGAAGAAAAAGAAACAATAAAAATCCATTTCCTTTAGAGGTTGTGAAATCAGAGGAAAAAGCCACCTCATCCCACACCCCAGTTGTAGTCAAGAGCCAGACTTTGCTGAGGCATTTTGGCAGATTGAACCCTTTGTCTGTGTTGACATAGATGCTGAGGGGAGCTTTCTTTATTATGAGATAAAGAGACAGGATCTGAGATTATAAAAGCTTTCACATGTCAGAAAAAGAACCAGTGGGAACAAGTTCATTCATGAAGCTGCCTTAAGGAACTGCAGGTGTTGAGGCACTGGGAGAGACATACACAAATGGATAGATTTCAGGTTTCCAGGACCTCCACCCAGTCACCATCATAAGTACTCATTTGGGGAATCCAGATTGTTCATTGCCTAGCCCAGTGGTTTTTCAAGTATGTTTTGTGGACCTTCAGAGTCAGAAGAATTTGGGGTATTTTCACTTGTTGCCCTATTTACATGATTTTTCTAAATCATTTGAAAGTAAGTTGCAGACATTATTTTCTTTTTTAAATTCTTCAGCATTCATCTTTAAAACATGAGGACATTCTCCCATATAGCCATAATAGGAGAATATTATGACCATCGAAGACATTCATAATTCCTAAATATCATTTATAACCATTCCACACTAAAAATTCCTCAATGGTCCCAAAATGTCTTTTATAGCTTTTTTAAAAGTCCAGGATTCAAGCACGTCTCCTGTAATGTAGAAGAATTCTCTTGCTTTTTTTACCCATGACATTGTCTTGAGAAGAATCCAGATCAGTTGTTGTCTTGATGAATATCTCACATACTGCCTGTGTATTTTTGTGTCCTTGTGGTCTCAATTAACTTGTTCAGGGAAACTGGCAGTCTACTACGCTGCTGAGAGTATAAATTGAGGTCATCTTCCTGGAGGGAAATGGGTAATATATTTTAAAACTTTCACAGACTTTAAATTAAGCTGGAGCCCGATTAGATTCAGGATAAACACTTCTAGCAGGACATTTCATAAATAATCCATGTATAACGCACTGCATCATCTTACTAGGCACATGATGTCAGATTGTCCCACTATTGATGATGTTAAATTTGTTCACTTGGTTCAGATGGTGTCAGCCACACTTTGCAAGTGTAACTTTCACCTAGAGGACATAGCATCCAGTTATGATCCTTATCTAAATCAATCATTGGAGATTGCAAAATGTTGATTTCCAAATTCTGTTATTCTTTCTACTTTTACTAACCAGAGTTTTCCTCAAAAAGGAATTTTTCTCCCTCCACCCTTTCATCCCCCAACCCACCCTGAGCATCATGGTAGACTCGGAATTTTAAAGATTCTATGGTTTTTTTTTAACCATTGCCTTGATTATATTCCTTTTTCTTTCTTTTTTTTAATTATACTTTAAGTTTCAGGGTACATGTGCACATGGTGCAGGTTAGTTACATACGTATACATGTGCCATGCTGGTGCGCTGCACCCACTAACTCGTCATCTAGCATTAGGTATATCTCCCAATGCTATCCCTCCCCGTTCCCCCAACCCCACCACAGTCCCCAGAGTGTGATATTCCCCATCCTGTGTCCATGTGATCTCATTGTTCAATTCCCACCTATAAGTGAGAATATGCGGTGTTTGGTTTTTTGTTCTTGCTATAGTTTACGGAGAATGATGATTTCCAATTTCATCCATGTCCCTACAAAGGACATGAACTTATCATTTTTTATGGCTGCATAGTATTCCATGGTGTATATGTGCCACATTTTCTTAATCCAGTCTATCGTTGTTGGACATTTGGGTTGGTTGCAAGTCTTTGCTATTGTGAATAGTGCCGCAATAAACTTACGTGTGCATGTGTCTTTATAGCAGCATGATTTATAGTCCTTTGGGAATATACCCAGTAATGGGATGGCTGGGTCAAATGGTATTTCTAGTTCTAGATCCCTGAGGAATCGCCACACTGACTTCCACAATGGCTGAACTAGTTTACAGTCCCACCAACAGTGTAAAAGTGTTCCTATTTCTCCACATTCTCTCCAGCACCTGTTGCTTCCTGACTTTTTAATGATTGCCATTCTAACTGGTGTGAGATGGTATCTCATTGTGGTTTTGATTTGCATTCTCTGATGGCCAGTGATGATGAGCATTTTTTCATGTGTCTTTTGGCTGCATAAATATCCTCTTTTGAGAAGTGTCTGTTCATATCCTTTGCCCACTTTTTGATGGGTTTTTTTTTTCTTGTAAATTTGTTTGAGTTCATTCTAGATTCTGGATATTGGCCCTTTGTCAGATGAGTAGGTTGCGAAAATTTTCTCCCATTTTGTAGGTTGCATGTTCACTCTGATGGTAGTTTCTTTTGCTGTGCAGAAGCTGTTTAATTTAATTAGATCCCATTTGTCAATTTTGTCTTTAGTTGCCATTGCTTTTGGTGTTTTAGACATGAAGTCCTTGCCCATACCTATGTCCTGAATGGTAATGCCTAGGTTTTCTTTTAGAGTTTTTATGGGTTTAGGTCTAACGTTTAAGTCTTTAATCCATCTTGAATTAATTTTTGTATAAGGTGTAAGGAAGGGATCCAGTTTCAGCTTTCTACATATGGCTAGCCAGTTTTTCCAGCACCATTTATTAAATAGGGAATCCTTTCCCCATTGCTTGTTTTTCTCAGGTTTGTCAAAGATCAGATGGTTGTAGATATGCAGCGTTATTTCTGAGGGCTCTGTTCTATTCCATTGATGTATATCTCTGTTTTGGTACCAGTACCATGCTGTTTTGGTTACCGTAGCCTTGTAGTATAGTTTGAAGTCAGGTAGCGTGATGCCTCCAGCTTTGTTCTTTTGGCTTAGGATTGACTTGGCGATGTGGGCTCTTTTTTGGTTCCATATGAACTTTAAAGTATTTTTTTCCAATTCTGTGAAGAAAGTCATTGGTAGCTTGAGGAGGATGGCATTGAATCTATAAATTACCTTGGGCAGTATGGCCATTTTCACAATATTGATTCTTCCTACCCATGAGCATGGAATGTTCTTCCATTTGTTTGTATCCTCTTTTATTACACTGAGCAGTGGTTTGTAGTTCTCCCTGAAGAGGTCCTTCACATCCCTTGTAAGTTGGATTCCTAGGTATTTTATTCTCTTTGAAGCAATTGTGAATGGGAGTTCACTCATGATTTGGCTCTCTGTTTGTCTGTTATTGGTGTATAAGAATGCTTGTGATTTTTATACATTGATTTTGTATCCTGAGACTTTGCTGAAGTTGCTTATCAGCTTAAGGAGATTTTGGGCTGAGACAGTGGGGTTTTCTAGATATATAATCATGTCGTCTGCAAACAGGAACAATTTGACTTCCTCTTTTCCTAATTGAATACCCTTTATTTCCTTCTCCTGCCTAATTGCCCTGGCCAGAACTTCCAACACTACGTTGAATAGGAGTGGTGAGAGAGGGCATCCCTGTCTTCTGCCAGTTTTCAAAGGGAATGCTTCCAGTTTTTGCCCATTCAGTATGATATTGGCTGTGGGTTTGTCATAGATAGCTCTTATTATTTTGAGATACGTCCCATCAATACCGAATTTATTGAGAGTTTTTAGCATGAAGGGTTGTTGAATTTTGTCAAAGGCCTTTTCTGCATCTATTGAGATAATCATGTGGTTTTTGTCTTTGGTTCTGTTTATATGCTGGATTACATTTATTGATTTGCGTATATTGAACCAGCCTTGCATCCCAGGGATGAAGCCCACTTGATCGTGGTGGATAAGCTTTTTGATGTGCTGCTGGATTCGTTTTGCCAGTATTTTATTGAGGATTTTTGCATCAATGTTCATCAAGGATATTGGTCTAAAATTCTCTTTTTTGGTTGTGTCTCTGCCAGGCTTTGGTATCAGGATGATGCTGGCCTCATAAAATGCGTTAGGGAGGATTTCCTCTTTTTCTATTGATTGGAATAGTTTCAGAAGGAATGGTACCAGTTCCTCCTTGTACCTCCGGTAGAATTCGGCTGTGAATCCATCTGGTCCTGGACTCTTTTTGGTTGGTAAGCTGTCGATTATTGCCACAATTTCAGATCCTGTTATTGGTCTATTCAGATATTCAACTTCTTCCTGGTTTAGTCTTGGGTGGATGTATGTGTCGAGGAATTTATCCATTTCTTTTAGATTTTCTAGTTTATTTGCGTAGAGGTGTTTGTAGTATTCTCTGACGGTAGTTTGTATTTCTGTGGGATTGGTGGTGATATCCCCGTTATCATTTTTTATTGCATCTATTTGATTCTTCTCTCTTTTTTTCTTTATTAGTCTTGCTGGCGGTCTATCAATTTTGTTGATCCTTTCAAAAAACCAGCTCCTGGATTCATTAATTTTTTGAAGGGTTTTTTGTGTCTCTATTTCCTTCAGTTCTGCTCTGACTTTAGTTATTTCTTGCCTTCTGCTAGCTTTTGAATGTGTTTGCTCTTGCTTTTCTAGTTCTTTTAATTGTGATGTTAGGGTGTGAATTTTGGATCTTTCCTGCTTTCTCTTGTGGGCATTTAGTGCTATAAATTTCCCTCTACACACTGCTTTGAATGCATCCCAGAGATTCTGGTATGTTGTGTCTTTGTTCTCGTTGGTTTCAAAGAACATCTTTATTTCTGCCTTCATTTCGTTATGTACCCAGTAGTCATTCAGGAGCAGGTTGTTCAGTTTCCATGTAGTTGAGCGGTGTTGAGTGAGTTTCTTAATCCTGAGTTCTAGTTTGATTGCACTGTGGTCTGAGAGGCAGTTTGTTATAATCTCTGTTCTTTTACATTTGCTGAGGAGTGCTTTACTTCCAAGTATGTGGTCAATTTTGGAATAGGTGTGGTGTGGTGCTGAAAAAAATGTATATTCTTTTGATTTGGGGTGGAGAGTTCTGTAGATGTCTATTAGTTCTGCTTGGTGCAGGGCTGAGTTCAATTCCTGGGTATCCTTGTTAACTTTCTGTCTCGTCGATCTGTCTAATGTTGACAGAGGAGTGTTAAAGTCTCCCATTATTATTGTGTGGGAGTCTAAGTCTCTTTGTAGGTCACTCAGCACTTGCTTTATGAATCTGGGTGCTCCTGTATTGGGTGCATATATATTTAGGATAGTTAGCTCTTCTTGTTGAATTGATCCCTTTACCATTATGTAATGGCCTTCTTTGTCTCTTTTGATCTTTGTTGGTTTAAAGTCTGTTTTATCAGAGACTAGGATTGCAACCCCTGCCTTTTTTTGTTTTCCATTTGCTTGGTAGATCTTCCTCCATCCTTTTATTTTTGAGCCTATGTGTGTCTCTGCACATGAGATGGGTCTCCTGAATACAGCACACTGATGGGTCTTGACTCTTTATCCAATTTGCCAGTCTGTGTCTTTTAATTGGAGCATTTAGTCCATTACATTTAAAGTTAATATTGTTATGTGTGAATTTGATCCTGTCATGATGATTTAGCTGGTTATTTTGCTCGTTAGTTGATGCAGTTTCTTCCTAGTCTCGATGGTCTTTACATTTTGGCATGATTTTGCAGCGGCTGGTACCGGTTGTTCCTTTCCATGTTTAGTGCTTCCTTCAGGAGCTCTTTTAGGGCAGGCCTGGTAGTGACAAAATCTCTCAGCATTTGCTTGTCTGTAAAGTATTTTATTTCTCCTTTACTTATGAAGCTTAGTTTGGCTGGATATGAAATTCTGGGTTGAAAATTCTTTTCTTTAAGAATGTTGAATATTGGCCCCCACTCTCTTCTGGCTTGTAGAGTTTCTGCCGAGAGATCCACTGTTAGTCTGATGGGCTTCCCTTTGAGGGTAACCTGACCTTTCTCTCTGGTTGCCCTTAACATTTTTTCCTTCATTTCAACTTTGGTGAATCTGACAGTTATGTGTCTTGGAGTTGCTCTTCTCGAGGAGTATCTTTGTGGTGTTCTCTGTATTTCCTGAATCTGAATGTTGGCCTGCCTTGCTAGATTGGGGAAGTTCTCCTGGATAATATCCTGCAGAGTGTTTTCCAACTTGGTTCCATTCTCCCTGTCACTTTCAGGTACACCAATCAGACACAGATTTGGTCTTTTCACATAGTCCCATATTTCTTGGAGGCTTTGTTCATTTCTTTTTATTCTTTTTTCTCTAAACTTCCCATCTCACTTCATTTCATTCATTTCATCTTCCATCACTGATACCCTTTCTTCCAGTTGATCACATCAGCTCCTGAGGCTTCTGCATTCTTCACGTAGTTCTCGAGCCTTGGCTTTCAGCTCCATCAGCTCCTTTAAGCACCCTTCTGTATTGTTTATTCTAGTTATACATTCGTCTAAATTTTTTTCAAAGTTTTCCACTTCTTTGCCTTTGGTTTGAATTTCCTCCTGTAGCTCGGAGTAGTTTGGTCGTCTGAAGCCTTCTTCTCTCAACTTGTCAAAGTCATTCTCCGTCCAGCTTTGTTCCATTGCTGGTGAGGAACTGCGTTCCTTTGGAGGAGGAGAGGCACTCTGCTTTTTAGAGTTTCCAGTTTTTCTGCTCTGTGGTTTTATCTACTTTTGGTCTTTGATGATGGTGATGTACGGATGGGTTTTTGGTGTGGATGTCCTTTCTGTTTGTTAGTTTTCCTTCTAACAGACAGAACCCTCAGCTGCAGGTCTGTTGGAGTTTGCTAGCGGTCCACTCCAGACCCTGTTTGCCTGTGTATCAGCAGCGGTGTCTGCAGAACCACAGATTTTCGTGATCCGTGAATGCTGCTATCTGATCGTTCCTCTGGAAGTTTTGTCTCAGAGGAGTACCCGGCCATGTGAGGTGTCAGTCTGCCCCTACTGGAGGGTGCCTCCCAGTTAGGCTGCTGGGGATCAAGGTTCAGGGACCCACTTGAGGTGGCAATCTGCCCGTTCTCAGATCTCCCACTGCGTGCTGGGAGAACCACTACCCTCCTCAAAGCTGTCAGACAGGGACATTTAAGTCTGCAGAGGTTACTGCTGTCTTTTTGTTTGTCTGTGCCCTGCCCCCAGAGGTGGAGCCTACAGAGGCAGGCAGGCCTCCTTGAGCTGTGGTGGGCTCCACCCAGTTCGAGCTTCCCGGCTGCTTTGTTTACCTAAGCGAGCCTGGGCAATGGTGGGCGCCCCTCCCCCAGCCTCGCTGCCACCTTGCAGTTTGATCTCAGACTGCTGTGCTAGCAATCAGCGAGAGTCTGTGGGCGTAGGACCCTCCAAGCCAGGTGCGGGATATAATCTTGTGGGCGCCGTTTTTTAAGCTGGTCGGAAAAGCGCAGTATTCGGGTGGGAGTGGCTGGATTTTCCAGGTGCCGTCTGTCACCCCTTTCCTTGACCAGGAAAGGGAACTCCCTGACCCCTTGCGATTCCCAGTGAGGCAAAGCCTCACCCTGCTTTGGCTGGCACACGGTGTGCTGCACCCACTGTCCTGCCCCCACTGTCTGGCACTCCCTAGTGAGATGAACCCGGTACCTCAGATGGAAATGCAGAAATCACCCGTCTTCTGCGTCACTCACGCTGGGAGCTGTAGACCGGAGCTGTTCCTATTCGGCCATCTTGGCTCCTCCATGGTGCCTTGATTATTCTTTTTGATACAGAAATTGTCTCAAATTTGGCCAGTGAGAGCTCTCTCAAGTTGACTTTTGTGTCCTTTTGACATGTCATTATCATTTTTTGATCACTTGTTTACTTTCTGATGCAAAAAGAAGTCCCAAGTTCGCCCGGTATTTTTTGTACTCCACCTGTGGATATATCATTTTTACCAAGGAGCCCCTTATATCAAGAATGATGTTTAGAAATCAAGATTTAGGCTCCAGAAGCAATGGCATCTTACTATTAGATGCCACTGATTCCAGGACTTCTAGTACACACAACTAGGAAATACAATTTTTAAAAAATTATGAGTTCATAGTAATATTTCCAAATAAAATTTAATTTTAATATTTTATTTTTAAATTTTATTTTTTTAATATTTAAGGAGCATTTATTTTTTCCTGTGAACTGTCCATTCATGTATTTTGCCTGTTTTCCTACCAGATTTGGCCTTTTTCTTCTTTAAGAACTCCTTACATATTAGGGATATTAACTCTTTGTCTGTTAAGTAAACTGCAAATATTTTTTCACCCAGTTTTGTATTTGTAATATCTGGCCCAGGTTCAGCTGCCTGGAGCTAACTTTTGAAAAAGGGCTCCTTATTCATAGGCAAAACTACAAGGAGAGGAATGAAACTCCTGTTTTCCAGGTGTCAGGCACTGTTCTGAGTGCTTAGTGAACATTCTTTTCTTGTACCTGGTGGCAAATCTTTGAACATTATTCCTTATCTAAATCCCACATGGCTAAAATGTTTTAGAAGTCAGAATTTTTCAGTTTTTGGAAAGGTCATATGGTACTTAGAACCATCTCTACTCCCCTAGCAAGGCCTGGGGCAGCATACTGAAATCATATACGTAAATATTTCTGTAGTGAAATGTGTGAATATTCCCATTAATTAAGATAAATAAAGACTATAGTTAGTTTCACCTCATCTCAGATCAGGTTTTGCTGCCAAATTAGATATGAAAAACATTTTTGATTATCAGAGCTTTTCAGATTTTGGAATCGTGGATAAGAGATAGTAGGCTTCTATCTATTATCCTTGCTTTACAAGCAAGGAAAGGAATTTTTATTTTTTATTCTTATTTTTATTTTTATTTTTTTGAGATGGAATCTCACTCTGTCGCCCAGGCTGGAGTGCAGTGGCACGATTTTGACTCACTGCAAGCTCCACCTCCCAGGTTCATGCCATTCTCCTGCCTCCGCCTCCCAAGTAGCTGGGACTACAAGCACCCACCACCATGCCTGGCTAATTTTTTGTATTTTTAGTAGAGATGGGGTTTCACCGTGTTAGCCAGGATGGTCTCGATCTCCTGACCTTGTGATCCACCCACCTCAGCCTCCCAAAGTGCTGGGATTACAGGTATGAGCCACCGTGCCTGGTAGAATTTCTTTTTTTTAACCAAATAAATCTTCTGGCTTTCACCCTTCTTTTCTTTTTTTCTTTCTTTTGTAAAGAAAGAAGGAGGGAGCAAGCTTGAGTAGTAAAGTGGGCCCCATGAAAACTACAGTATTTCTCTACTTCCCATCCCACCACCTCCCTGGAGCCAGGGTGAGATTGAGACAGGTAGCCCCTCCAGTAGCCCTTCAAACAATATTTTTTATACACTTCTTCAACATTTATTTGGAGGAAAGACTGATTGCTGCCTAGGGGATGTTCTGTGCTGGAAACCTGCGAGGGCAAAAGAAAAGACACACACACCAAATACCTTTAAGGGTAAACAACCTTTATCCCATGTAAATGGCAATGCAAATATAATAAGCAAATGATATAATAAGAAAATTGCAATGGGAAGGGGAGAAGGGAAAAAATATATATATATTTACACTCACCAGACTATGGAGAATTCATCACCAGACTGGGAAGTAACAGCCTGGGCTCCAGAGTCAGCCACTCATCCGTGCACAGACAAGAAGAGGTCTCATGAAGCTTCAGCACAGTCTGGGACCCTATCTCTTTTTGTAACCAGTTGTTTGGCACGAGGCCGTGTCATGAGGGCTCAAGGAACACAGAAAGGTCAACTTGTTTTTGCGATTGTCTGTTGTTTTTCAATAACTTACATACAGGAACAGATTTCTCCAAAACTGTGCTGGATGAATGCCCCAAGGGGCTCATGCAACCTGTTCCAGGACTTGGTGACTATTGTTTGTGTTCACGTTCAATTGAGTTCAAATTTAATATTTAACTTTCCCTCCACAGGGGAGGAATAGAGAGGAAAGACACAGATGATGGTGCTCAGCCTCTTCTTGACATTTCAAGCAATTCTGCTCAGGCCCTAAACTTGCATGCCTCTCTGAGACAGAAGGCAAACTGCAGTTGATCTGACTCACCTTCCTTAGTGGGGTGGTCAGAGACTATCTGCTTTTTAAAATTTTTGGTTATTTATTTATTTATTTATTTATTTTGAGATGGAGTCTCACTCTGTTGCCTAGGCTCAAGTGCAGTGATGTGATCATTGCTCACTGCAGCCTTGACTTCCCAGACTTAAGTGATACTCCTACCTCAGCCTCCTGAGTAGTTAGGGCTACAGATGCATGCCACCACACCTGGCTAATTTTTTCTATTTTTTGTAGAGACAGGGTCTCACTGTGTTGCCTAGGCTGGTCTCAAATTCCTGGGCTCAAGTGATCTGCCTGCCTCAGCCTCCCGAAGTGTTGCAATTACAGGCATGAGCCACAACACTCCACTTGAACTACCAGCCTTTACTCAAATGTGTCTTTTATGAGGTTCTTACATAGTATTCTCAATTATTTTCAGCTACATATCACAGTCTCTCAGAGAGGAATTATTATTATTATTATTATTATTATTATTATTATTATTATTATTATTTGAGATAGAGTCTCCCTCTGGTACCCAGGCTAGAGTGCAGTGTTGTGATCTCCAATCACTGCAACCTCTGCCTCCCAGGCTCAAGCAATTCTCCTGCCTCAGCCTCTCGAGTAGCTGGGATTACAGATGTGTGCCACCATGCCCAGCTAATGTTTTGAATTTTTGGTAGAGATGTGGTTTCACTATGTTGGCCAGGCTGGTCTCAAACTCCTGACCTCAAGTGATCCACCTGCCTCAACCTCCCAAAGTGATGGGATTACAGGTGTGAGCCACGGCACCCAGCCCCCCTCAGAGAAGAATTATAATACTACTTTTTCCTTGGTCTTATTCCATATCTGGTTCCATTTATAGAGTATGTTCCAGGCAAGTACGCTGTGGACACTGGTCTGTAATGACGAAATAGTTCCTGATTTGAGGATTATCTTGCTTTATTACCTCCATTTATCTAGCTTCTAGGACCTCCTTCCCTTCTGTAGGGATTTTACCATCTTTTTACTCTGGTTGTTTATGCTGTATCTACTTTTTCCATCAAAACCAACTTATCTTTTTCCATGGTGTCTCAGGGCAGTACTGAAAATCCAGTAAGTGATTTCTTGATAGAGAGGAACAGGTTTTCCTTTAAATATTAAATAATACAAAAAACTGGATTAGTGGGGCATTTTCCCAGAGTTTTGATCTGTTAAAATAATACCTTAACTCAAGTTCTCTAATGGGAGGCAGGTATTTTAATCAATACCAGGTAGATGAAAGGCCTGCACATTGAGAGCTTTTTATTGCATAATTCACACAGCACCCCATGATATTGCCTCTTCCCCAAAGAGCTGTCACATGGAATCCACTGTTTTGAGTTTTAAAAAGCAGCTCCTGTTTTCAGCCTTTTTATTTATTTATTTATTTATTTATTTATTTATTTATTTGAGACAGAGTCTCACTCTGTCACCCAGGCTGGAGTGCAGTAGCACAATCTCAGCTCACTGCAACCTCTGCCTCCTGGGTTCAAGCGATTTGCCTGCCTCAGCCTCCCGAATAGCTGGGATTACAGGCACATGCCACCACACCCAGCTAATTTTTTGTATTTTTAGTAGAGATGGGATTTCGCCATTTTGGCCAGGCTGGTCTTGAACTCCTGGCCTTAAGTGATCCACCCGCCTTGGCCTCCCAAAGTGCTGGGATTACAGGTGTGAGCCACTGCACCTGGACTGTTTTCAGCATATTTGATAGCTAAAGGAATAATATCTTTTTACCAAGCTCTTAAAAATCAATACAAAATAATACAAAAAACTAATACAAAATACAAAAATAGAAAAAGACATTCAGATTTTAAAATGGGAAAAGGACCAATAAACATAAGAAGAAAGTCAATCTTACTAGTAACCAAAGAGCAAATAAGACTAACAATGAAATATTTTTCACTTGTCACATTGGCAAATACTTAATAAAATCATAGTATTCAGCCTTGACAAAGGTTCAGGGAAACTGGCAGTCTCCTACACTGCTTGTGGGAGTGTATATTAGATGATCTTTCTGGAAGGAAATTTGGTAATATATTTTAAAACTTTCATAGATTTTGACCCAGAAAATTCTGCCTGGGTGTTCTCAAGACCCATTAAAGATATCGCAAAGATTTTTTTCTCACATTTTATTATGAAAAATTTCAAGCATACAGAAAAGTTGAAAGAATACCTATACATCCACCACCTAAATTCTACAGTTGACATTAATATTTTGCTAAATTTGCTTCATCACTTATCTATCTAGCTATTTTTTACTCTTCTCTAGCCATCTATCAACCCAACCTATTTTTAAAAATGTATTTCAAATTAAATTGCAGACACAAGTACACTTCCTCCTAAGTACAGTATGCATATTATTAATTAGCTCAATATTTGTTCATAGTTTTAATCGTTTTTTCTTTTAAGATAAAATTTACTATAACGAGATGAACAAAAAAAGTGTTATTTCTGACAAACGTATATAACTATGTAAACAAAACCCCTGTCAATATGCAGACCTTTACTATCATCTGAGAAAGCTCCCAGTACATCTCTGTTCACCCCTACCCTACCCAGGGACAACCATTGTTCTGACTTTTTTACACTATAGATTAGTTTTGTTTATTCTAGGAAGTCTTATATATGGAACCATACAGTACAATTTTTTTCTGTATAAGGCTTTCTTTGTTCATCCATGTTTTTATAGTTTGTACTTTTATTGCTAAGTCATATTCAATTACATGAATATACTGCAATTTGTAGTATACTATTGACATTGCCTGGGCTGGTCCCAGATTTTGCCTGTCATAAATAAATTGGAACACTTTTGTACAAGTCTTTTTGAGGACACTGTCTTCTGAGGAGTGGAATTTCTGGGTCATAGGGCTTGTATATGTTTAATTTCACAAGAAATTGCCAGAGCTTTTTCCAAAGTGGTTGTACTATTTTATACCCTTAGCAAAAATGTATGAGTTCTTGTTGCTCTACAGTTATGCTGATAAAGTATTTGATGTTAGCAGTCTTTCAAATTTTGGCCATTCAGGTGGGTGTATGGTTGCAAATTGTTATAGTTTTAATTTGCATTTCCTTGATGACTAATAATGCTGGACATTTTTATGTGTTTATTGGCTATTCATATATTTTCTGTGGTAAAGCATCTAGTCAAATGTTTACTCATTTAAAATTTGTTCGCCTTTTTATTATATATGAGTTATAGAGGTTCTTTGTAGATCTTGGATACCAGTCCTTTTTCAGATAAATGTTTTTCAAATATTTTATCCCAGTGTGTGTCTTGCCTATTCATTTTCCTAATGATATGAGGAGCAGATGTTTTAATTTAGATAAAGTTAAATAAATAAACTTTAATTAATTACTTTTTAAATTTTAATTTAGATAAAGTTAATTTAGATAAGTTATTTTTTATTTTATAGCTATTGCTTTCTGTGTTCTGTCTAAGAAACAGAAAGTTTTAAATGCCCAAAGGACATGAAGATATTCTCCTATATTTTAGCTTTAACATTTAGGTATATGATCCATCCTGAATTAGTGGATTTCCAGTTATTCCTGCACCATTTGTCAATAAGACTTTCCTTTCTCCATTGGATCTATTGGGTGCCTTTACAAATATTAAATGATTACATGAGTATGGGTCTTTTTCTGGGCTGTTTGTTCCATTGATCAATTTGTGAATCCTCATATCAGTACCACATTGTCTTGATTACTTTAGCTTTATTATAAGTCATTAAGTCAGGCAGTATATCTCCTCAGACTTTGTCTTTTTAAATATTATTTTTGATATTGTAAGTTCTTTGCATTTTCATATGTCTTAGAATTAGCTGTTGAATTTATTATGGAAAACACCTTAGTGGAACAATGATTGAAACTGCATTTGCTATAGATCAATTTGGACATGCTAACAGCATTGAACATCCATGAACATGGAATATATTCCAATTCATGAACATAGAGCATATCTCCATTTGTTTGAATTTTCTTTTATTTCTCTCAGCACTATTTTATAGGCATTTATGTCTTTTGTTATATTTATTTCTAAATAGTTTGTGGTTTTGATGTTATTGTAAATAGAACTGCTTTTGAATTTCATTTTATAATTATTTGATGCTAGTGTATAAAAATACAATTGATTTCTGTGTACTAATCTTGTGCAACCTTGCTAAATTCACTCATTGGTGTTAATACTCATTTTGTGGATACTTTATGAATTAGCATATAAATAATTATGTCTCCCACAAGTAGATCCAGTTTTACTTCTTTTTGAATTGATACATAACATTCGTGTATATGTATGGGGTACAGTTTTACTTCTTTTCAGCCCAGGGCTCTTATTTATTTTTCTTCACTTTTATTGTAATAGCTAGGACCTCCAGTTCAATGTTAAATAGAAGCAGTGAATAGGAACATTCTTGCCTTGTTCTTGACCTTATGGAGAAGGCATTATTCAAAATTTGTCTATTATGATGTTAACTGTAAGATTTTATAGATGTTCTTTATCAGACTGAGGAAGTTGCCTCCTAATTCTAGTTTGCTCAGAGATTTTAACATGAGTGAATGTTGAATTTTGTCAAAATCTTTTTCTGCATCTATTAAAATGATCATATGGCTTTTTCTTTTTTTTCTGTAAATAGGGTATATTATATTACTTTTCTTTTTCTTTTCTTTTTTTTTTTTTTTTTTTGATGGAGTCTCACTCTGTCACCAGGCTGGAGTACTATCTTGGCTCACTGCAACCTCCACCTACCAGGTTCAAGTGATTCTCCTCCCTCAGCCTCCCAGGTAGCTGGGACTACAGGCATGCCCCACCATGCCCAGCTAATTTTTCTATTTTTAGTAGAGACAGGGTTTCACCATGTTGGCCAGGATGGTCTCGATCTCCTGACCTCGTGATCTGCCCACCTTGGCCTCCCAAAGTGCTGGGATTACAGGCGTGAGCCACCCCACCCGGCCTATATTACTTTTGAAATGTTAAATCAACCTTCCATTCCTAGGATAAATCTCACTTGGTCATTAGGTATAATCCTGTTTATGTATTGATGGATTTGATTTGCTAAAATTTTATTATGGATTTTTACATATGTGTTTATGAGGAATATTAGTTTGTAATTTTTTAGTTTTGATAATCATGTTATACTGACCTTATAAAACAAGCTGGAAAGTGTTGCCTCCTCCCCTCTTTTCTGAAAGAATTTTGGTTGATTTGGTGTTCTTTCTTAAATGTGTGGTGAGGTTTACCACTGAAACTACTTGGGCCAGAAGCTTTCTTTGTGGTAAGGTTTTTAAATTATTTCAATTTCTGAAGTATATATTGAATTATTCAGGCTTTTTGTTGTATTTTGTGACAGCTTGGGAAAGTTATATTTTTCATCAAATTTTTCTATTTAATCTACATTGTTGAGTTTGTTGATATAAAATTGTTCATAACATTTTTTCTTATCTTTTTAATCTGTGTGAGATCTATAGTGATAATGCCTCTTTCATTCCCAATACTAAGAAAAATGTTTATGTTAAAAGATGATCATCCAGGGGTTCTCTAAAATGAAAAATGGGGGGAAAAAAACTCTTGAATGTTCAAAAATAAGGGATTGGTAAAGCAAAATACTTAGGCATCTTGACATAATGAATTACCGTGTGGCCCTTAAAATTATATTAAAACTACAATGAAATACTTCTACACACTTACTAGAATGGTTAAAATTTAGGAGGTTCACAATAACAAGTGTTGGTGAGGATGTGGAATGACTGTAACTTTCATTTCATTGGAACATTTCACTCTATTGTGGCAAGAGTATAATTTGGTAATTTTAAAACTGTGTGGCTATGTCTACTAAATCTTAAAATACATATACCTATGACTCAGCATTTCTGTGTGTGTGTATAAACACTCCTATTTATATATAGTATCCACACACGTACTATTTGTATATACTATAAATCTCTGCATATGTTCACTACAAGACATGCAGAAAAATATTCACAGTGAAGTGGCCTCATGGTCTGGGGTGACACTCGAGGTTCATTGTCTCACAGCCATGGAGATCAAGGACACGGAAACACAGAGCGAGGTTAAGAGCTGAAATTTAATAGACGAAGAAAGAGAATAGCTCTCTGCCACAGAGAGGGGTCCTGGAAAAATGGGTTGCCAATCCATGATGAAATGCAGGGGTTTTTATAGATGAGCTAGCGGTGAGGCAGTGTCTGATCTACATAGGGCATGAAAAACTGGTTAGAACCAGGTGCACCACCTGCGTAAGGGCACAAATCTCTGGCAGCCCCCACCACAATCTTTTATTATGCAGGTGGGTTCTCTGCCTGAGCTTCTCCATGTTGCCCAGTTCTTTCTTACTATACATGTGCTAATAAGAAAGGGAAGGTAGAACCCCATGGTGGACATGCCTGGCCCCCAGGTTGCCCCTTTCTATCAGTGCAGCTGCAGGCCTCCCCCTGTGCAAGCTTCCAGCTTCCTTATCTATGTTTGCAGCTTGAGCTTTCAGACTGCTCTTTGTTAGAAAAAAGTAATTTCTTGGGCTGCTTTTTGTTAGAAGGGAAGTTCTGCCAAGGACTCTTTTGCCCTCACTATCTGCCTAAATAATTTCTGTCTACCTCCTATATCAAGAGCAGTGTTATTCATGTAATCTCAAATTGGAAACATCAGTCACCATTAACAGAAGAATGGATAAATTCTGGGTGTAGTCATACAATGGAATTCTGTATAGCAATAAAAAAGAAGATCCATACAACAACATAAATGAATTGTCCAGACATTATTTTGAGAGAAAGAAGGCAGACACAAAAGAGTACAAACCATGATTCCATTTGTATGAAGTTCAAGGACAGGCAAAATTGACCTGCAGTTTAGAAGTCAGAATAATGGCTACTTCTGGATGAGGGGCTCAAACTAAAAATTTGAGAGCAGTTAGAGGCAGAGACAAGCACTTCATTCACTGCTACTGCAATAGGGAGCACTCCAGGGAGAGTGACTTTCTGAGCAAAATTTAGTTGGGATTGTTTCATTGGGTCAAGGATCAGAGTGGAAATGTGGTAAGAAAGCAAGTTTGCTGAATCAGGTCTCAGAATCAATGGCATGTAATAGCAATGAGTCCGTAAAACCTAGGTCTTCATTTCTATTTCTCAACACTCCTGTGATTTTTGTGGTCAACAAGCTCTGAGTCAGGATGTCTCATGGTATCTGCTTGCCACCATCTGCTCCTTGGAATTAATTGCTCCTTAGAATTTAGTCTCAGTCCTTGAAACTGTCTTTAGGCGTAGAAATTTAGTCTACCGTTCATGAAAGAAGTACAGCTTTCACAGAGGTATGAGGTCTGAGGTCTAAGGACATGAGAGAGCCCAGGAGGCTAGAAATATCCTATATCTTGATCTAGATGGTTAGAGGGGTTTATATATATGTAGATCCATTGAGCTGTTCATGTAAGATCTGTGTATTTATTGGTCATGATAAACTCAAATTTTAAAAATGAATTTATATATTTAATTGCACAGAAAAAAATATTTCTATTACAATGTTGAGTGAAAAAGGCAAGTTATGCTAGAGCATTTCTCCCTGAACTCACTTGTATTAAAAAAGTTTACATATAAGAAGAAAGAAGACTAGAAGAATATACTCCAAAATATGAGACTGTGCATAAGTTTTATTTTTTATTTTTGGTTGTTTGCATTTTCTAAACTTTAGAAATATAATTCTGATGTATCTGAGGTGGTCCAGCATCTTCTCCAAACTCTCTCAGCCCCAAGCTCAATAGCAATAACCACAGCATTCACAACCTCTGACCCAACGCATCAGCAACATCATCAGCTCTACCAGACAACCAGAGTAGCCATCTTTATCCCTGATCCCTCTGTCCCCTGTGAGGTAAAGCATGTGGCCTCTTGCTGAAGAATATTCCTCCCAGCTCACCTGATAAAATGACAAATCCAGAAACCTATATTTACTTCCCTTTCACAATCATTTAATGATATGAATTGAGCACTGTGGCTACCCATAAGGGAGACTGAGAAAAATAAGTCAGGATCCCCACTCTCCGGGGGATTCCACATAGAAAACTCAACACACATGGAGAACTTTTCTTGGTCATTTCTCTTAATCTCAGCTCTTTTTTTTTTTTTTTTTCCTGGCCCAGCTGGAAACAGGAATAATAATGGCACTTCACTCACAAGTTTGTCCTGAGGTTTAAATGAGGCAACATGAACACAGCATTTTAGCAAAGGGCCAGGTACGGACTGTGTAAGGGTTGTTGGCTGCTGTTTTCTCAGGCTCATCATTCATCACATGCAATCACTGCTCCCTGGCTTTGAATTGTTCCTTTAATTTTCACACTGCCCATGACAAAAATTTCATCAGAAAAAGGTGCATTTAGACTAAGGTTCTTATACCAGAAACACAATGAAAGGGATTGGTAAAAATGCTCCTTTGCATGAGGCAGGCCCATTTTGCTGGATTGTTCTGTGGAGTGTTCACAGATTCTAACAGCATTTACTCGTTGCCATAGAGACCATGTGACTAATTTGTTCAGATTCTTACATCTAATGGACAACCTGCTTATTGAAGTTCTAATGAACTCCAGTAAAACGCTGTGTAAGCAGCTCACTCCCAAACAACATAATAATCCCAGTAGGTATTTGAGATCTGCATCTCTTCTTTGGAATCTGTGTCTTACGGGTGGGAACAAGATTTTAAAGTTTCAGCGTATTAAGTTGTCTTGTCAAAGTTTGGAAATATTAAGCAATATTCTCTTACAGAAATTCATAATATTAAATTATTTAAAATGTTTTACCTAGGCTTTAACTCAAAAACTCCACAAGAAATACTCAAAGAAGCATTTAAAGAGTTAACAAGAATACTCATTGAAGCAGTATTTACAGTATAAAACATTGGAAATAACCAAAATTTTCAACAATGGTAGATATGATAAATAGATCATCATAGTTGTCCTTGATAGGATTCTATACAATTATTTAAAATGTTGTCATATAAGAGCGGGGTGTGGTGGCTCACACCTGTAATCCCAGCACTTTGGGAGGCCGAGGTGGGAGGATCACTAAACGAGGTCAGGAGTTCCAGACCTGCCTGGCCAACATGGTGAAACCCTGTCGCTACTAAAAATACAAAAATTAGCCAGGTGTGGTCCCGAGCACCTGTAATCCCAGCTACTCAGGAAGCCAAGGCAGGAGAATCTCTTGAACCCGGGAGGCAGAGGTTGCAGTGAGCCGAGATTGTGCCACTGCACTCAGCCTGGGTGACAGAGCAAGACTCTGTCTCAAATAAATAAATAAATAGTCATATAAGATTTACTTGTATCTGAAAATCATAAGTAAAAAAACAGGCTTCACAAAAGCTGATAGAAAATAATCCCATTTTGATAAACAATACACATAAATAGAAAAAGAATAAAGGATATATACACACCAAATGTTCATGGTGAGTGATAATGGTGGCATTATGAATGGACAGGCTTTTCTTCTTTGGTCTTTTCTATATTTTTCAAAGTTTTTTGTATTGAACATAAATGAGTTTTATTATCAGGAAAGGCTAAATAAATACAAGTATTTTTAAAATAATTAAAAGAAAGCTCCCCTTTATAGAAAATATGGACCGTGATCTGCTCATCTTTATGGAATAATGTCACCTAATTAATGTATAAGAAATAGCACTTTCTTATACATACTGCACCTCCCATTTTATTTTATTAATTTTTTTTTAGTCAGGGTCTTGCTCTGTTGCCCAGGCTGGAGCACAGTGGTGTGATCACAGCTCATTACAGCCTTGACCTCCTGGGCTCAGTCTATCCTCCCACCTAAGCCTCCTGAGTAGCTGGGACTACAGGTGCACATCACCATGCCTGGCTAATTTTTTTTTTTTTTTTTTTAGTAGAGATGGGGTTTGTCATGTTGCCCGGGCTAGTCTTGATGCCCTGGGCTCAAGTGATCTGCCCACCTTAGGTTCCCAAAGTGCTGAGATTGCAGGCTTGAGTCACTGTGCCCAGCCACTCTCTATTTTAATAATTGATTCTGAAAAGAAAAGAATCATCTATGGATGCTAAAATAGTTGGGTGAAAGTTAACTGGAGAATAGGATACTTACGCAGTCTCAAATTATTACACAACAGATTACATACTAATTACAAAGAGGAAAATATACCTTTACAATGGAGAGAAATGGCAGTCACCTCTTTAATCGAAAGATCAAAACTGTCAGTATCCAAAACGAGACAACACAATGTTTCCTCAATATAAGCAAATAAGAACTACACATTTCCTACATAACATTCTTGAGAAAGATGTTTATCTCGGATCTCATTATAAGGAAATTAGAAAGTGAGGCATTTTCTAACACAACAGTCCTCTACTCTTCAAAATGTCCATGTCATGAAAAACAAACAATGGTGGTGGGACAGTTTTAGATAAAAATAACTAAGGAGATATGAGAACCAAATAAATAAATGAACCTTGATTGAATTCTGGATTTACCAAAGCTGTAAAACACATTCGAGTACAACTGAGAAAATCTAAATATTGGCTGGATATTAGATAGAATTAAAGAATTATTTTTAATTTTCATAGATGTAATAATGCTGATGATTAAGAAGAAAATCTTTGTTCTTCAGAGAATGCTGCTGAAATATTTAAGAACAAAGTATCATAATGTCTGCACTTACTCCCAAATGTCTCATTAAAAATATACAAATAGGCCGGGTGCAGTGGCTCATGCCTGTAATCCCAGCACTTTGGGAGGCCAAGGTGGGCCAATCACTTGAGGTCAGGAGTTTGAGACCAGGCTGGCCAACATGGTGAAACCCCGTCTCTACTAATAATACAAAAATTAGCCAGGCATGGTGGTGGGTGCCTGTAATTCCAGCTACTCGGGAGGCTGAGGCAGGAGAATCACTTGAACCCAGGAGGCGGAGGATGCAGTGAGTAGAGATCGCACCACTGCACTCCAGTCTGGGTGACAGAGTGAGACTCTGTCTCAAAAAAGGAAAGAAAAAAGCAAATATAAAGTAAATGAGGCAAAATTTTAATAATAAGTGAATATAGGTGAGAGATGTACAAGTAGGTGTTCATTGTGCTACTATTTTGACACTTGTAGACTCAAAAATTTGCAAAATTAAAAGTTGGGACAAAAGTACTTGACAAATCATAAAGTACTCAAAAACAATGGCACTATGATTAGTAGCAACAATGAAAGTATTTAGAGAAAAAGAAACTTTTCTTACCATGTGTGGACAGTACAGAGAAACAGGTTGGTTTAGTTTTATATGAATTGTAATATTTCCTTCTTCCCCTAGAGACAGGATATTTGAGTTTTCACCCACAATCTGAAATTAGGTAACCATTAAAGGGATTTTCCTTACAAACCATTTGTGCTCTTCCTACCAGATCTAAACACAGGATCTAAACTTAAGCCTTACTACCCCCATTCAATATTCCAGGAAAGTGCTTGGTCAGTGTACCTAGAAACTGGGCAACCTAAGAGGGGTGTGGTTGGGTGGTGAGTGTGAGGGTGCCAGAGCTGGAAACATTTGGGTTTGCATGTCCACTCTGACACCTTCTGACTTTGAGAAGCTTGGATGCTTCTCTGAACCTCAGTTTCCTCATCTAGAAAAGCAGAGATTTAAAAATGCACCTACTGTATAGCTTTATTGTGAGGATGAAATAAGGTGATACAGGTAAGGGCTCCAGTGCCTGGTTAGTACAAAGTTTTAAGAAACCAGCATCTCGGGAAGGCCTTTCCAACCAGGAAGCTTAATTAGTCATCAAATGTTTAAGAAAATAAATATAAAAAACATGAAATTTTAAAAACAGATTTGGCAGTTTTATAACAGTATAGGAGGTGGTGTTATTTTTTCCTTTCAAGGATTGGAAGGCAGGTTGGGAGCAAATAAAAAAAAAATTTGAAAATAATGAGTTATTTCAGCTGAGTGGCTTCTTTATTGACTAAAATAGAGGATATGACCGTGAAGTAATGTGACATGAGTTAAAAAGTGGACTGAGATGCTACCTCAATTTTGAGGCCACAACCTTCCAGGTTATCACCTTGGAAAGCAATCTTCATACTCATCTTGAATTTATTATCCTTGCTGAATACTTTGAAACTTTTATATAGGAAGCACCAGCTCTAAGGATCAGAAGGTGCTCAGAGATAGTAGATCTTCATACTTTGATGGCAAACTTTAGACTTTAGGGAAAAAAGTGGCATTTAGTACTAAGTCTAGTAAATTAGATAAATTATCTGGAGAATACAATTTTAAATGAGATTTTTAAAAACTGATTCTATTTTCAATGAAATTGTTCTATGAATTTTATTTTTTGATTGTTTATTGATATTATATAGACATACAGTTGATATAATTTTTATATATTGATCTTATATCCTGCAACTTTGATGAACTCAATTATTAGCTCTAATAGTGTGTGTATGTGTTTGTATGTATGTATTCCTCAGGATTTTCTATATACATTGTGATGTTATCTGTTGAATAGAGATAGTTTTACTTTTTCTTTTCCAATTTGGATGCTATTTCTTTTTCTTGCCTAAATGCCCTGGATAGAACACCTCTATGTTGAATAGAAGTGGCAAGAGTGAATATTCTTGTAAGTCCTGATCTCAATGGGAGCACTTTCAGTCTTTAACTGTTGAGTATGATGTGAGCTGTGGGGTTTCTGTATATGTCCTTTAACAGGTTGAGAAAGTTCCCTTTCATTGCTAGTTTGTTGAGGGTTGTTACCATAAATAGGTGTTAAATTTTGTCAATGATTTTTCTGCATCTACTCAGATGATCAGGTGATTTATGTCCTTTGTTTTACTAATATGGTATATTAATTGGTTTTCATAGTTTGAACCAATTTTGTATTTCTGGTATAATCCCACGTGGTTGTGAAATATATTCCATTTATATGTTCCTTGTTAGGTGGGCTAGTATGTTTTTGAATTTTTTTGCACCTATAGTCATAAGGAATATTAATTTGTGGTTTTCTTTTCTTGTGATGTCTTTGGTTTTGGTGTCAAGATAATCGTGGCTCATACTATGACCCCATTTTGAGGCCCAGCCTCCAAAATCCTGGTCTTACATATTTTTTGGAGAATTTGTGAAGGATTAATGTTAATGCTTCCTTAAATGTTGGATGGAATTCACCATGAAGCCATCTGGGCCTGGCCTTTTCTCTGTGGGAAGTTGTGTGTGTGCACACGTGTGTGTTGGATGGGGAATGTAAGAAATTAAGTTACAATACTTCATTTTGACAAATTGAAAAATTAAAAACCTATTCATCACCTCCAAAAAGTTTCCTTCCACCCTCTGACTTTATTATTATTATTATTTTGGTAATAAGAACACTTAAAATATCTCCTTAGCAAGATTTTAAGAATATAATACAGTATTGTTAACTGTTGGCATTATGCTGTACAGTAGATCTCTAGCAGTTATTCTCTGTGTAGCTGAAATTTTGTACCCTTTGATGAATACCTTCCTGTTTTCTCCTCCCCACCAGCTCCTGGCAACCACCAATTCACTTTCTGGATCTATGAGTTAAACTTTTTTTTTTTTTAAGACAGAATCTTGCTCTGTCACCCAAGCTGGAGTGCAGTGGCGCAATCTCGACTCACTGCAACCTCCGCCTCCCAGGTTCAAGCGATTCTCCTGCCTCAGCCCCCCAAGTAGCTGGAATTACAGTCGTGTGCCACCACGCCAAGCTAATTTTTGTATTTTTAGAGATCTGGAGTTTTACCATGTTGGTCAGTCTGGTCCCAAACACCTGGCCTCAAGTGATCCAAACGTTGGCCGGCCAAACTGCTGGGATTACAGGTGTGAGCCACCTCACCCGGCCAAAATTGTTTTCTTAATTTCCTTTTTGGACAATTTATTGTAGTGTATAGAAACACAACTGATTTTGGTACATCGATATTGTATCCTGAAACTTTGTTAAATTTGTTTATCCTAAGTTTTTTTGGTAAATCTTTAGAATTTTCTATATATCATATATAGAAATATAATTTTCTGCACATCTATAAGATCATGTAATCTGCAAACAGAGATAATTTTACTTCTTCCTTTCTGATTTGAATACTTTTTATTTTCTTTTCTTGTCTACTTACTCTGGCTAGGACTTCTAATTCTATGTTGGATAGAAGTGGTGAGAATGTACATCATTTCCTTGTTCCAGATCTGAGAGAAAACGCTTTCAGTTTGTGACCGTTGAGTATGATGTTAGCTGTGTGCTTTTTATATATGGCCTTTATTTTGTCAAGGTAAATTCCTTCTATACCTAATTTGTTGAGAGTTGTTATCATCAAAGGGTGTTGAATCTTGTGGAATGCTTTTGCTGTATCTTTTGAGATTATCAAGTCATCTTTGTCCCTCATTCTGGTAGAAAGCATGTGTGAAGCCATTTGGGTCTGGGCTTTTCTTTGTTGGAAGGCTTTTTGTTTTTTGTTTTTTGGGGTTTTGTTTGTTTGTTTGTTTTTTGAGATGGAGTCTTGCTCTGTCACCCAGGCTGCAGTGCAGTGGCACAATCTCACTCACTGCAACCTCCACCTCCCGGGTTCAAGCGATCCTCCTGCCTCAGCCAGCCAAGTAGCTGGAATTACAGGTGCGTGCCATCACACCCAGCTAATTTTTGTATTTTTAGTAGACACAGGGTTTCACCATGTTGGCCAGGCTGGTCTCAAACTCCTGACCTCAAACGATCCACCAGCCTTGGCCTGCCAAATGCTGGGATTACAGGCGTGAGCCACCACACCCGCTGGAAGGTTTTTGATTACTAATTTAATCTCCTTATTTGTTATTGGTCTGTTCAGACTTTTTAATTCTTCATAATTCAGTCTTGGTAGGTTGTATGCTTTCAGGACTTTATTTTCTCTAAGTTGTCCATTTTGTTGACGTATAATTATTCTAGGGATTCTTCACATTTCTGTGGCAGGAGTTGCAGTGTCTCCTCTTTCACTCCTGATTTTCTTTCTTTGAGTATTTTTCTCTTTTACTTTTCATAGTTATAGGGTTTGTTGATTTTGTGGAAAGAGTTTTTTCTAAGAAAATCCTAAAGAACATTTTATTTTTTATTTTTTGTTCATACTTTAGTATGCAATGAACATTTTAATTTTTTCTTATTTTTTGAGAGGAAAATTATATGCTCATTTTATTCATGACTCTAAATGCAAAGGTTCAAACAAACAAAAATTAAGAAATTTTACCCAAGAAAATAAAATCAGGAAAGAAATGCAATGCAAATTTAACATTTGAAAATATTTTTAAATTAACTCTAACAGGTTAGTCGAGAAAAACTATTTTATCTTTTCAACAGAATCGGAAAACTCATTTAATATAATGTAATACCTATTCATGATTATTGGAAAAAACAAACATATAAACCGCAACAAATTAGGCTAACTTCCACACTCTGTTAAATAATATATAGTAAAAATGGATATGCAAACAAAAAACAAACAATAGAACTCTACAATAAACATCTTTAAAAAATTGGGTCAATTTCGGAATGATACAATAGTTAAAGTAAATACTAATGTTTGTCTCATTCAGGTTGAGAACTTACTATTTCCTTTTGACCAATGTATAAAAAAAGGCAAGATACACATGAAGGCAAAGGACTATCTTAAAATGAATAATGGTAATTTTATAACTGCTGCTAATTTGAGCCTGCTTTTATGTAATAAAATGCTAGACACTAACATTTGCCTTACCATCTTAGTATTGCTACCTATGCCTGTACTGTGAATTCAGCAACACCATTCCCAAATACACTACAGTGTTTATAATCAACACCTGAGCAGCTGACCAGCGGCTAAGACTTCCCACTTTAGTGTATTTTTAGTTCAAGTACAGAACCCTTATTATGGTACATTCAAAATAGTTGTCTTTATTTTGCTCATATCTTTCTAATAGCAAATATGTTTTTCTTTACTTTCTCCATGTTTGAAACTTGAACTACATTAAAGGGATATTCTGCAAAATTGTCAGCATCTCTTTCCCTCATTCCTGTGTCTAGGCTCTTTATTCTAAAAGGACATTGAGGGGAAAATAAAAGCAATAATGTGAGATTACCCTTGGGGTGCATTTAGAGAATGTTGGACTTTCCTTGTTGCCTACCTTTATGTTAGAAATTTAGATAAAAAACCGTAAGAGCTCACTTAATAATAGCTGTCATAATCATTACTATGATCTCCTACCTGGACAATATAAGGTAGCAGAGAGCGTGGCTTCAATTTTATTATTTTGGGAGTGGCACAGAGTAGACCCTATTTAAAGAAATGCAGACAAGTTTTTATCTTCAAAAAGCAATAAATTAATGGATCTAGTCATAATCATCAATGGCTACTATCATCATGAAAAAAATAACCTAACCAGACATTATGTGCCTCCTAAGAGAACAACATTATACAGCCTAAGAAGTAGTCTTGTTAAAAAAAAAAAAAATCAAGCAAGAGTCTGACTAAACCTCTAGATCAATTTACAGGAAATGTAGGGGAACAGAAGAACATGTAAACCACACCATATGTATGCAATTAGCAAAATTCAAGCTGTGAAATATTCAAAAAAACCAACAACTCAGTTCTTGAAAATAACAAATTGCAAGGGAAAAAGAAGGTAATGAGAAAATTCATAGATTAAAAGATACACAAAACACTTATCAACTAACCCAATGTGTGAGCTTAATTGGAACAAATGGTAGCAAGAAAAGATGCATGACTTAGATAATCAATGAAAATGTGAATGGTGGATATTTGATCGTAAGAAGCAATTATTGTTAACTTTTAGGTATAATTGGAGAATATGTTTGTTTTTAGAGTCCTTGTTTTTTAGATATATATACTAAAGCTATTTATGAATAAAATGTAATTTTGGAGATTGGTTAGGAGTAATGAAAAAACAGGATTAGCCATAAGGTAATAATTGTTGAAATGGGGCAGTAGATACATGAGAATTCAATATACAATTTTGTCTATTTTTGTATGTCTTTTGAGATTTTCAATAATAAATGTTTCAAAAATAAGTAATTGTTTTAGGCTGCTGAGAAATACTTCAACACAGCATATAGGGCACTCCAGAGAGGGCACAGATGTCTACCTCGGAAGACATGAGAACTGGATCTTGTATGAGTCAATCATGGGTGTAATGGGATGGGGAAATTTTTATTTATTAGAATTTCACAAAAACCAGGTAAGATGGTCCATCCTGGAGAGCCTGCTTCCTATAAGGGAAGTCATCTCAGTGAGGGAAGTCATCTCAATGAGGGAAGTCATCTCCATCTCAGTGAGGGACTTGACATTTCCCAAGGGGCTGAGTGCTGTGGAAAAATTTAGAGGTGAGACTCCTGGATGGCAAGGCAGAATAATCTGTGAGATGGCAGGGGAGCAGTGCATGACAGGTTTCCTCTCCATAGTGCCCCAATCTACATTAAAGTTACTCTTTTTGTGAATTCACAATTGTGATTTCCTCTGCTGTAGAAAACAGCAAGGGACAAACATCTGTGTACCAACTGGCATGTGGCCAAATGGAGTCAGCACACACAGATGCAGAAAAACAGAGGGAAACTGATCCCATTCACTTTATTTTACAACTCCAGTGACATAGCTTTTGCATTTGCTGGTTTCTCTACCCTCAATGCTCCCTCTACTCACTTCTCTTTTCTACCTTGGCTTAGATGTCACTTCTCCCAGGGTGCTCTCTCTGATTCCCCAGGCCAAGTTAGATGTCCCTTCCACGCATTTCCAGTGTAACCTGTGTTTCTGCTTCATCACGCTTTTTCCACTGTACAATTGCCTATATTATTTGTTCTTTTGATGAGGACAGGAATTTTTATTATTATTATTTAGAAAATAGAGATAGGGCTCACTATGTTGCCCAGGCTGGTCTCAAACTCCTGGATTCAAGTGATCCTCCTGCCTCAGCCTTCGAAAATGCTGGGATTATAGGCAAGAGTCACCACACCAGGCCTACAAAAGTAATTATTTCTGTCTTTTACATAGTTATTTCTCCAGTACCTATTGCTGTGTCTTATAAAAGAGAATTAATATTTTCCTGTGTTTCTTGTGTTCAAATTGGGGCCCCCAGATTCTGAATGTTTTTGAGAATGGCCATAGTGATCTCATTGTAGTGTACTATGGTAACTAGTTTTATGGTTCCTTTAAGAACTCCTCTTTTCCTCCATGTAATTCTGGTGGGACTATTAATCATGGTCCTATAGATCCACTCCTGGGGATGAACAAATGTCCCAGGTTAGACTCCTTAAGTTACAGTCCCAGGGAAAGGCAGATGGCAAAAGCCTGGCCAATCAGCATATGTTCCAAGAATTTTCCAAAGTAGAGGTGGGGGAGAAGTAGGGCTATTTTGACCTTGACCTAAGGAGAGGTGACTCCAGAGTTGCTGGTGTTTATTTTGTCTGCTTTGTGGAAGAAATTCATCAGATAACAACTCGCAGAAAAAAGTAAATGGAGTGATTGAGAGGGAGAGAAAGAGAGGGATCTGATGTTTTACAAGTTAATATGTTTTAATCCTGGTGTTTTGGCACCTCCAGTCTTGATTCCGTAAGCTGCCTTGATGGTGCTCCCAGCAAAATGGATTTATAATTAACACTTTTGCTCAGGCTTGTTTGAAATAAATTTCTGTCACTTGCATCCGCAATAATGCTGGCTAACACAAGGGTCTTTAGCTATTGCCAGTATATTACAATTAAATGGAAGATGTAAATTTTCTCTTGTGTAGGCTGTGTGACTAACTAAAAATGCCAATCTATTAAGTGTTGCTGGAATCATATCAACTTAGTGTGGTAACCTTGCTGATTTCAGATGTTCTGAGTGTCAGCCATATTTGTATTTCATAAAAAGAAAGATAAAGCCAAAATCAGTATTGCCTAAGATGTGCATTTTCTTGTTAGACAGAATTTTCACAAGCTGAGATCAGTGGGAAAACACAATGCAATGAGTCTCGGGTACTGAAAATGTCAACTCTTTTGTAATTAAATAGATCTGTGAGTGTGGTATAGACAGAATTTGAGACAGAATTTGATTATTTCTTAAATTCCCTCTTTTATGCTTTTGAATTATAATCTGCCTACCAAGTGTGAGCTTGACTATGATGTCATCTTGAAGATTTGAACCTTGTGTTCTGAATTTTCTTTTATCTTTCTAAGTGAGGGTGTTTCCTGAGCCAATGGAACCACATGGCACCACCAGTGTCCTCAAACTATAGACCTCTCCCCAGAGCCTGGGCTATCAATTTGACTGTTTTGTCTTCTCCCAGGCAGGCTGAGGTGTTTCTAGTCACCAGAGAATGTTTTTAGAAGTATAAGGACAGAACTAAGTCCTATAGAAAGGCTTTGGTGTTACCAAGATTATGGAATTCCCTTCTTAGTATAATTCATAAAAACAGTAGTAACATATAAAACAAATGTAAGAAATCCCCCCTCCCAAAGTCTTATTTTTCCCATGCTGGCTATTTGAATGTTTTTAAAATAGTGGGTATTAAATTCTTTCAAAAATATTTTGGGTTTCTGCTTCTCAGGTACCCTATTTTATGGACCATCTAGCAGTCAATGCAGTTAATCCAGGCAGCACCTCCCTATGTTCTATTGTTCCTCTCCACCTGGAAAACACTGAGACCAATTCTTGTAAAACTTTGGCCACCAGCCTAAGGTACCAGCTCTCACATTTCTATCTGTGGTGTTCCCATCATATAAATTCCTCTGCTTATTTCTCTTTTCCTGCATTCTCATTTTCATGTTGCAGGAACAGGACTGTTTGTTCCCTGACTCTTCCTCTCCCTCCAGAAACGTTTCATAGTGCCCTCTAGATAGACTATCAATTGAGTGGTTAAGGAACTATTCTACATCCACATCTTCTATATCTTCTTCACTTGATGTTCTCTTTATCATTTACCTTTCCAGAGACCTGGCTCTTCCATGTAAAGATGTTACTACTTTTCCTTTTCAAGAGGGGGATGTTGATTCTTCTACACTCCTTAGGTTTGGCATCCTCTGAGCTCCCAATACCACCTCCTGACCATTACTTCTCTGACCCTGTGAGCAATCCCCTTGTCTTTTTGAGACTCACACCCTTTACTTTTACCACCCTATGCCACTCTTGGTTGCTATAATTTACCAACCTGTCAGTCATTCCTTACTCATTAAAGCCTTCAGCATGAGGTTCATGATCCTTCCTTTGACTCCATGTCCCACCATTATCCTGAGTGCCTCCTACATTTATATGGATAATCAGTCCTACCCCTATTCTCTTCCTTCCTTGATCCTGATCTCCAGAGAGTATCATGACACTTAATCTACCTGTGGCCATGTCCTTGTATTGGCATCACCTGTAAATGTTCTATCTCTGAAATCGTAAGTCTATGCATCTCACTTTTGAGTACTATTTCTATGGGCTCAATTGTGTCTCCCCAAAACTCATGTGCTAAAACCCTACTCCTCACTGTGATGGTATTTGGAGATGGGGCCTTCAGGAGGTCACTGGGTTTAGATGAGGTTATGAGGGTGGCACCCTCATGATGGGATTCATGTCCCTGTAAGAAAAGATGCTGGGCATGGTAGCTTGTGTCTGTCTTCCTAGGTACTCTGGGAGGCTGAGGTGGTAAGATCACTGAGGAGAGGAGTTTGAAACCAGTCTAGGCAAGATAGCAAGACTGTGTCTCTCCTAAAAAATTTACAAAAAAACTAGTCAAGCATGGTGGTGTACACCTGTAGTCCCAGCTGTTTGAGAGGCTGAGGTTAGAGAATCTCCTGAGCCCAGGGATCTGAGGCTACCAGGAGCTATGATCACACCACTGCATTCTAGTTTGGTCAAAAGAGCAAGACCCTGCCTCTCAAAAAAAAAAAAAGACACTAAAGAGCTTGATCTCTCTCTCTCCCTGTCAGGTGAGAACACCATGAGAAGTTGGCAGTCTATAACTCAGAAGAGGGCCCTCACCAGGACCTGACCTTGCTCGCACTCTGATTTTAGACTTCCAGCCTCTAGATATTTTATTATAGCAGCCTGAGCAGACTAAGACAACTACCTTCAGTCCTGCCATCCCCATTGACATCTTCAGTGCCTTGTCTTCTCACCACTGATCTGCCTTTTCTTGAATTCTCCTTTTCTGATCCACTTAGTTTCTTAGTCTTTCATCTTAATGCCAATATCCCTAGATCCCTTACCCACTGCCCTTTTATTGCACCTTCTTGGCAAAATGTTAATCCTGCTTCAATCTAACTGTCCACTTTTACCATGCTTTTCGTCTATATTTTTGAGTGATATTGGAGAATATCACACAACTAAATAGTGACTTAAAAAAATGAAGACTAATGTTCTCCAGCCTCAAATGTGCTCTTATCATTACCCATTTCTCCTTTATTTTTACAATTTGCTCTTTCTTCTATTTTCAGCAATGATAATTTTAAACAATTCTCCACTAAGACTCCTACCCCACCATTTTCTCATTCTTATCACATGACATTGCCTTACACTCCACAAAGAACTACAAACCACTGCTCAGCGAAATAAAAGAGGACACAAACAAATGGAAGAACATTCCATGCTCATGGATAGGAAGAATCAATATTGTGAAAATGGTCATACTGCCTAAGGTAATTTATAGATTCAATGCCATCCCTGTCAAACTACCAATGACTTTCTTCACAGAATTAGAAAAAACTACTTTAAAGTTCATATGGAACCAAAAAGGAGCCCGCATTGCCAAGTCAATCCTAAGCAAAAAGAACAAAGCTAGAGGTATCACGCTACCTGACTTCAAACTATACTACAAGGCTACAGTAGTCAAAACAGCATGGTACTGGTATCAAAACAGAGATATGGACCAATGGAACAGAATAGAGCCCTTGGAAATAATACCACACATCTACAACCATCTGATCTTTGACAAACCTGACAAAAACAAGAAATGGGGAAAGGATTCCCTATTTAATAAATGGTGCAGGGAAAACTGGCTAGCCATATGTAGAAAGCTGAAACTGGATCCCTTCCTTACACCTTATACAAAAATTAATTCAAGATGGATTAAAGACTTACATGTTAGACCTAAAACCATAAAAACCCTAGAAGAAAACCTAGGCAATACCATTCAGGCCATAGGCATGGGCAAGGACTTCATGATTAAAACACCAAAAGCAATGGCAACAAAAGCCAAAACAGACAAATGGGATCTAATTAAACTAAAGAGCTTCTGCACAGCAAAAGAAACTACCGTCAGACAGAACAGGCAACCTACAGAATGGGAGAAAATTTTTACAATATACCCATCTGACAAAGGGCTAATATCCAGAATCTACAAAGAACTTAAACAGATTTACAAGAAAAAAATCAAACAGCCTCATCAAAAAGAAGGCAAAGGATATGAACAGACACTTCTCAAAAGAAGACATTTATGCAGCCAACAGATACATGAAAAAATGCTCATCATCACTGGCCATCAGAGAATGCAAATCAAAACCACAATGAGATACCATCTCATACCAGTTAGAATGGCAATCATTAAAAAGTCAGGAAACAACAGGTGCTGGACAGGATGTGGAGAAATAGGAACACTTTTACACTGTTGGTGGGACTGTAAACTAGTTCAACCATTGTAGAAGACAGTGTGGCGATTCCTCAAGGATCTAGAACTAGAAATACCATTTGACCCAGCCATCCCATTACTGGGCATATAACCAAAGGATTATAAATCATGCTGCTATAAAGAGATATGCACATGTATGTTTATAGTGGCACTATTCACAATAGCAAAGACTTGGAACCAACCCAAATGTCCATCAATGATAGACTGGATTAAGAAAAGGTAGCACATATGCACCATGGAATACTATGCAGCCATAAAAAAGGATGAGTTCATGTCCTTTGTAGAGACATGGATGAAGCTAGAAACCATCATTCTGAGCAATCGCAAGGACAGAAAAGCAAACACCGCATGTTCTCACTCATAGGTGGGAATTGAACAATGAGAACACTTGGACACAGGGTGGGGAACATCACACACCGGGGCCTGTTGTGGGGTGGGGGGAGGGGGGAGGGATAGCATTAGGAGATATACCTAATGCAAATGACGAGTTAACGAGTGCCGCACACCAACACGGCACATGTACACATATGTAACAAACCTGCACATTGTGCACATGTACCCTAGAACTTAAAGTATAATAATAACAATAATAAAATAATAATAATAAAATAAAAAAGACTCTTAGAAACTAAGATCCATAGGTTGGAAACTACTTTAGAATAACTAAACTCATAAAAATAATAAGTAATTAAATCATCTGACCATTTTGAATGTTTGCCAAATTAATGGGAGGAATCTGAAAACAGACCAAATTAAGTGTTCCCCTACTTTTTTAAGATCAAGTATATTTTGAATACAAATAGTATAAAGAAACTGAAAACTAAATACTTGACTGGCATTGAGACAAAAGAGACTTCACATTTAACACAGGAAAGGATGTCATTAAAAATTAATCCTTGCTTGAAAAAAATGGGGTTTTTCCCCCTTTTTCTCTTTTATTCTGGTAAAAAAGGAAAAGATAGGAACATATAGATGATTAGGTAGCAGAATCATGTGGTGGCTAAGAGCCCAGTTTTCAGAGCCAGACAAAGTTGGGTTGGATTTAAAACCAGGCCTCACCTAAACCAATATATAGGAAGGATCTTGACAAGTTTCTTCACACCTCTGAGTCTTTTTCAAATGTAAAATAAAAATATACAAAAAAAAAAAGAGAAAAGAAAAAAAGTAGAGAACACTACATTTATGCATATCCAAGTTCTTGTGTATACATTTTTAAGCCTCCTACAGATGATAAATTCCTAAATCTCCCCAAGTTTATGAATCCACTGAGCTGTCACCTACATGGAGTCCTTCCCGATCCTTCCAGCTAGAAATTGCTGGCATGTCTATGTAATCTGTATTAACTTGCTTACCGTCTCCAAAGTGGGAGCTTCTTGAGAATAAGAACTGTGTCTTAGTCTTCGTTGAATCTGCAGGGCCAAGTAAAGCCATAACACACAGTAAGAGCTTAATAAATGTTGGATAAATAAAGAAATGAATGCATGAACATAGAATGAAAATAATCCTAAAGTTAATGACCCTCAGGGGACATTGGAGGTAGGGAAGGAGGGAGACACAAAATTCGAGTAATCACCCTCAGCACCGACTAAACTGGAGACCCTACCGGTCAAAGCAATCAAATACAAAATGTATTCAAATCCCACTCTGGGGAGGCTCAGACTGCATCCAATTTCTGCATGAAACTACACCTCAGAAGCCTCTCCAAGGCAAGAAAAAACTGACAGCATCACTATCAAGATTCAGATAGGAGGCAGCATACACAGGAATACTCATTAAATATTTATTTTCCAAATCCCCAATGACAAGTTCTGGCCAATAAAGTGTGAATGGATGTCATGTGTGTCACTTCCATGTGGAGGCAGTGAAAAGTCCAAGTAAGATGCTCCAGTCTCTCTCTTCCGCTGCCCTAGCAACTACATGTTCCAGATGGTGCATCTACAAGATGGTGGAGCCCAGGTCAACCTGGGTCCCTGAGTTACTATGTGGAGCCAAGTCCTCCACCAACCACAGCAGGTTTGTAACATGGTGATAAATAAATGGTGTGTGTGTGAGCTGTGGAGATTTGGGGGTTAACTTGTTCCAGCAGCATAAGCTAGCCCATTCTGATGAATATAATATAGAAAGAATACTTGAAAAGAAGATGGAATCTTTTGCATTAAGGTGCTTCTCAGTAGTTTCCTGGATCCAGGCTTCCTTCTTCATATTCATTCCAAGCAGCTCTCTTAGATCTCGCCTTGCTTCTTCTATTGGACTTTGTTGGCTTCCAGTCACAATTTATTTCTGATTTACTGGCATCTAGATTTAAAACTCTTTTTGAAAGCAGCTGGACCTACGTGCATTCATCTCCTTTTTCTTTTTATGTCTGTCTCTACTGACAGTCATCTTCCCATTTCTTCCCCTCTGTCCCTGATCCATGACCCTTAATCTTAATCATCTCTCCTTTCCTCCAGGTGAATCAATCCATCATCTTTGATTTTATTTTTATTCTTCCACCATTCCTATACTAATGAAAAAGCAATATATGCATTTTAAACCTCTTCAGTTTCTTCTTGATTTTTTTGGCAAATCTGATCCCCAGATTTAGTGCTCCATGCACAGGCTCCTTTAATTGCCTTCTTGGGTAAGAAATAATTTCACTGGGCCTGGCACAGTGGCTCAAGCCTGTAATCCCAGCATTCTGAGAGGCCGAGGAGGGTGGATCACCTGAGGTCAGGAGTTCAAGACCAGCCTAGCCAAGATGGCAAACCCCATCTCTACCACAAATACAAAAACTAGCCAGGCATGGTGGCATGTGCCTGTAGTCCCAGCTACTTGGGGGGCTGAAGCAGGAGAATTGCTTGAGCCTGGCACGGTGGAGGTTGCAGTTGAGTCGAGATCGCGCCACTGCACTCCAGCCTGGGTGAGAGTGAGACTCTGTCTCAAAAATAATAATAATAATAATTTCACTGAATTGCTTCTTTTCTTAAAAAAGACAATACATTCTTTTAATAATAAGGACTGTTTTATCTCATTTTAATATTAATACAATCTAAATGGCAACTTGGGGGAAATCGTAGTCATGATCAGAACCAGGGATGGATCCAGGGAGGAGACTAAAGTTTGTGCAGTTCGAGGAACCCTCTATAAGTAAAAGAATACAAAATTACCAATATGAAATTCCATGGTCCTACTTCAGCCCTCTCCAGTTCAAGGAGAAGTATGGCAGAGAGGGGGTTGGAGTGGAAAGAGTCATCTTAACTAACTGCATTGAAAATAGTTTACTTTTGCAAAGTTTACAGAAGCATGTGCCCTTGCAAACACAGTGTCAGGGCCCCTCCCAGAACCTTGGAAGTAGCTGGTGCAGGGAAATTTAGGTCCTGAAGCTTAAACTTCATTAGCTTCACAATTAATCCACCTCTGTTCAGAAGCTGGTGTAATTAACAACTCCAAAGCAATTTGAGCTCTTGTGAGTGGAGATTCTTAAGGTAATTGAATCCAAGGTTAATGACACCACAGTTCTATCTTTAAGCCAGAAGACAGAGGAGGAACAGAATTTGGGCATCTGATCCAAGATTGTCCATCTCTGGCTGGTACTCAGAGTTCAAAGCCACATGCTCCCACACAGGTGATCTGTCCTACACATGCAGCTTCGGTGCACTTTGAAGTCCTGCCTGTGGCCGGGCGTGGTGGTTCACGCCTATAATCTCAGCACTTTGGGAAGCCAAGGTGGGTGGATCACTTGAGGTCAGGAGTTGGAGACCAGCCTGGCCAACATGGTGAAACCCCGTCTCTACTACAAATACAAAAATTAGTCAGGCATGGTAGTGTGCGCCTGCAATCCCAGCTACTCGGGAGGCTGAGGCAGGAGAATTGCTTGAACCTGGGAGGCAGAGTTTGCAGCAAGCTGAGATTGAGCCACTGCACTCCAGCCTGGGCAAAAAGAGTGAGACTCCAAGTCTGCAAACAGATTCTTTCTTTCCTTATTGAATCCTTCCTCATCTGGGCATGCTAAGGCCTCTGCAGGCCACAGGCATCTGCTGGGGCTCTGATAGGGCCCAAGACTGGGGGAAAGCCTATATCTACTTACCTCCCTTATGCCCCCATTTTACCTCACAGCTACTGCTACTCTGGTGCCTGAAATTGTTAACTTATTTATTTCTGGCCACTTACTCTTCTAGGCTAGATTTTGAGGGGAGTGACTCTGTATTTCCAATGTCTATAACTTAAACGATACTCAACTAATGTTTATTGAATGCTTGAATGGCACTGTGCTAGACATTTAAGAGAAATTATCTTATGTAAGAATTGGTTTTCAGAACATTACTTAGGCAATTTATATTTTCATTTCAAAGGCATAAGTTTTCAGCAATAAATAAAGCAAATTCCAATTTTCAAAAACAGAAGCAGTTTATTTCCAACAAACGTATACAAGCCACACATCTCTCCTGTCTCCAAAGATACACAAGACAAACCACAACATACTAACAGGTGGAGACCCTGAGGCCTCTTACTAAGTCTTAATCAGACATAACAGAGGAGGCAGGATGTTTATATGTGTATTTATCATTTGGCTGCTTTTCAATTAAAACCACATAGAAGTAAAACAAGAAGAAAAATTTGCTATGAAAAAAAGAACTGCAGCACTGTCTACATGACATAAGGATAGAGATGAGGTGTAAAAAGAGTTGTTTTGCTTGAGAAAACAGCTTAATTAGCCTTTCACCACTGTGAAAGGAGAGTCCTCATGAGCTGATCTTGAAGGATGCTGTAGAGACAACAGAATAAACAAGAAGCCCAAAATAATCAGGTGATGTCTCAACTTCCAGTTCAATGGAATCATAATTATGTACCCTGGTAGACGTATTCATCCCTTGAGAACTAAGAATCTAAATCAAAGTTTCCAAAGTTGCAGGAACAAAAAGCACACATTTTGTGTGTGGATAATAGATAACAATGAAGAAAGCCACTTCTCCTTCCACCCGTTTGTTCCTAGACCTATATTTTCTGACTATGGGAGAGAAACTACCATATATTGGTCACTGATTCTGATCAGACACTACATCTTATAGGACAGAACCCTAACCCCTCATGGCATTGTCACTCAGCTGATGCCATAATTGAGTTGTCAACAAACTATTTCATAATTCTATCAGGCCAGTTACTTCTGAGTGATGAAATGATATACGTAAGATTGTTGAATAACATGGGTATGAACATATTGCCTGGGTTTTTTGCTGTACAATGAATTCGTAGTACAGAAGCAGTATTACATAGGATACCATCATGGTGGATAAGAATTCAATACATCCAAGAATCATAGTGGCAGCAGAAATGTCATGCACAAGAAAGACAAATCCATATCAAGTAAGTATCTATTCTAGTGAGGAAAATAATCTTGTCCTTATCCATGATGGAAGAGATCTAATATCATCACCCTGTTCATTGGTCCAATGAGCAGCACTGAAGTGGCTTGGGAAAGCAGCTGGTTGCCATTCACAAAAAAGGTCATCTTGCCAAGATGACTTTTGAGCACCACCTCTATAACAGATGACATTTAGTGAGCATTCACATGGAACACGAATATCTCCACACCTGTGCCCTTACAAAAGATTGATCTACATGCTTCTTCTCTAATTCATAGTCAGTCCTCCCTAAGTCCCTGAACATAGAGCCAAACCATCCGCCACTACCCGTGAATCAGCTTAGATCCATAACTTCTGGCCTTTCTCCTTCCAGGTAAAATGGACAGCTAAGTGCACTGCTCAAAGTTCTGACCATTAAGAAGATATTTCTTCCTAACTGCCTTTCAGGATCACCCTTGGGGAATTCTATAATGCCGTGGTCATCCACTTTTAGGAGGTACCAGCATATCATCAGAACCATCTGTAAATCAGACCTGAATTTTTTTCCTAGTCAATTTGTCATAGGAAGTTCCCCACGGAGCCTAGGTGGGGATTAAAGGAGAGGTGGCAATGCATCAAGATTAGATGCCACTGAAGATGTTAAAATATAGAAAGGAATGCGTTTCAGTGAGTAATAGCTAACATTTTTTAAACTTATATGGCAGGAACTATTCCTTATGATGATATGTAATAATTATTCTAATCTTACCAATAACCCTGGGAGGTAGGGTTTTTCTTAACATTCCTATTCTGCAAAGAGGAAAACCAAGTTAAGTCAGTCATCTAAGGTCACCCAAGTAGCAAATGTGGTACTGTGAAGGTGGGCAGTCAGACTCCTGAACCTATGCTCTTAACTCCAGACCTTGAGGCCTAGCAATCTTGGGTAGATGGAGGAGAAAGCAGAAAGAGAGATGGCAGCAAATCTCTTGGTTGCTACTAAGGTCCTTTGGCGCCATCTGCTGTTTAGTGCCAGAGTTGGCAATTCCAAATAGTTTGGACTCCTATGATTGATGCTTTTTTCTTTCTCTTACCTGGAACACATATGCCTATCATGTTGTCTTCTTCCACTGTTAGGTCAGCTATTCAAACAAAAACATTGAGATTATAGATCTCATTTTAACTTCCTAAGTGAGCCCAAATACGGGCCAGAAGAGTGTTGGTGTCCATTTCTGTTTGAATGTTGAAGGCTGTCTGACTTTGTGCCTGCTTCTAGTATGGTCCAAACAATTGAAGATATTTTGGCTTTGAGAACACCATAAAGAAGAATGAGATCCTGTCATTTGCAACAACATGGTTGGAACTGGAGGTCATTATGTTAAGTGAAATTAACCAGGCAAAGAAAGATAAACGTCACATGTTCTCACTTATTTGTGGGAAGTAAAAATTAAAACAACTGAACTCACGGAGATAGAGTAGAAGGATGGTTACCAGAGGCTAGGAAGGGTAGTGGGGTGGGTGGGGGGGAGTGAGGATGGTTAATGGGTACAAAAGAATAATTATAAAGAATGAATAAGACCTAGTATTCTCTAACACAACATGGTGACTATAGTCAAAAATAATTAATTATACATTATAAATAACTAAAAGAATATCACTGGAGTGTCTGTAACACAAAGGATAAATGCTTGGGTAATGGATACCCTATTTACCCTGTGTTTATTACATATTGCATTCCTGTATCAAAATATCTCATGTAGCCCATAAATATATATACCTACTATGTACCTACAAAAATTAAAAAATTTTTTTCAAAAAAACACCAAAAAGTAAGAGAACTGCAAATATATAATAGTGGTAGTCATGGTAGGTTTTGCTGCCTAGTAGCGGCTGCCAGATATTGCTAATGGAGTCAGCACAATAATCTTTTTAAACTGATGAAGCCTTTGAAAATTGTGTCGTTAGAAAGATTTTTTAAACCAAGTTAAGACAAGAAGTTTCCTTCTTTACGACGTGTTAGATTAAGCCATTCTGCAGGGATTGGGGGATAAGGGTTCCCAGATTGTTAGAAAACTTCAACTAGAGTAGAGTTTAGAGGAGAACAAAAGATATGACCCTGAGTGGCAGTTCTATCTCAAGACAAGGTCCCCATTGCCTTAGCAGATTAAATACGCAGTTTGCTAGAAGACAAGCTGTGTGAGTGTCTTAGCCTAAGGTTGTGAGTGGGTTGTTTTACCCTGATTCAACTATCTCTTTCCTTTTCTTTGAAACACAAGGCCGCCATTTAATATGTGTCAAAACTTTAATAATTTTCATCTATTGTTTGAACAAATGAGGATTTGTTTTCCTACATGAATTGTCCAAGATGGTAGGTAGAGAATCCAATATGAGTTCAGGATCCCAAGGAAACTCCAGCCCGTTCATTCAGAAGCAGTGTCTGCAGAGGCTGTATATTTCTAAAGAAAAACAAATGGGTAAATTGAATAAAACCCAGTCGTACAGTTTCCACTTGAGGAAACTTTGACCTAGAATAGTTTGCCCGTCTCTAGAATATTCTTATATTTAAAGACCAGAAAGTGTCTCAATTGCAATGAATTCCTACTTTAGTTGATATAAGAAAGACCATTAAGCATCTATATGAATCCTGGAAGGACTCTTAAAGGCTACTGGTGATAGGTCACTATCATAATAATCGTCAATAAATCATACCTCCCTGTATCCACATCTCTTTGCAGTGTGTCATTTCTTCTCTCTCCATCTCCCCATCAAGAGATGGAGTCTATTTCTTCACACCCTTGATTCAGGGTTGAACTTATAAGTAAAATAACGTCTAACTGATATTAGTTAGACTAACTAACTCCCCTCCCTGAAGTTGCCATCCCACTCTGCATGGAACTGAAACTGCACGTCTCTTGCTGACCACCACAAAGGGACAACAGCCAGGGACTGACTGTGAAGGGACTTAGGGTAAAGGCACAGTGCAGCCCGTACAACTCAGGGAGGGGAGGAATGTACAGGTGCACATGCAGGACACTCGCTATGCAGCAGGGCCTATAGTGTCCCTGTTGGCCCCCTAAGTCATTTCCAGCTTGGGTGTATGGGTGGAGGCTGCAAAGCCCCTGCAGCCAGCCCAGGCCACCAAGGGTCATTCTCCACAGGGACAGGCGGCCCCAGTTATGCCTGCCCTGATGCAGCAGTCTGACCTCCTGCCTGTGGGACCAAAGGCAGAGCCTTGTAAAATAAATAATTTGTTTTGACCAATGAAAGGTGACAGGAGTGAGATTGTGTGAGATCCAGAGACTTGCTTTTGAGAGGCTTTGCAGTTCCTGCTCTGTCATTTTGACACCCTGAGACCACCATGCTGTAACGAGGCCGTCTCACCTACTGAGGAATTCTCCTCCACCTTGGAACATCCCAGCCCTAGTTGAGGCATCAAATGACGGCAGGTGGCCCCATGAATGTTCCCCGGTGAGTACAGCGAAGAAGCGCCCAGATTGCCAATCCACAGAATAGTCAGAGATAATTAATTATTGTTGTTTTAAGCCACTAAATTTTGGAGTGGTTTTTATGCAGCAAGATATAACTAATATACTTCCCAAGAAAAGGTAAATCCCAAACCAAACTCTGAATGCTTTAAATGCACTTGCCCTTTACGAAAAACTTTCCTACTTGGAAAATGAGAACACATTCTTAATTGTCACCACCTTAATTTGCCCAAATCTACTAAATATGTTAATATTCCCCATGGGCTGATAGTTCATAGAACTAAATCTTAAAATGAAGGTTTTCTACTTGGGAAAGGTTTTTTCAAATGAAACACTGGATTACTTTGAATTATAAAGTCATGGTTAAAAGTAACTACTACATTGATGTGAAGAAAAAAAATAAACACGTATGAATTAGTGTGAATAAAGTAATAATTTATTAACAAAAGATTAAACATTCCTATTCTCTAACACAAACACTTTATCTCCTTTAAAAAGTTGTTGGATGGAAATAAAGGAAATCTTACTTTGGTTTAATGACTTCAGGGTCCCTGCTGTGTTACAAGAAAAAATACAAAAGAAATACAAATGGGCAATAGGCTAGTGATTAATAGTCACGTAAAGACTAAAGAGAAAATAAAAATAATACAAAAAGTTTTGGGTCTAAGTTTCTAAAAGTTGTTTTGTTTTTGACTTTTATTCCAGGTTCTGGGTCTAAATTTCATTCAAATATATAGTTACAGATTGAAAGATATTTTATTTACAAACCTTTTTGTCCTAAGATCTTAAAAACAAAAAATAGAAGTTATGATCGTAAAATAAATATGATAATTCAATTTTACTCCAAAGTAAATCAATTTGTGAACTTTGGACATACAATAGTTCTATATAAATATTCTCTCCCATTTTTCCCACAGTGTAAAATAAAAATGCAAACATGGTATTACAGCTTATGCAAGAGTTTGGATTTTCCTTTCTAAAATACTAGATTAAATGAAATTTAAATCACTTACACTTGCCCTGGAGATAAAGTAAGTTGTTATTACCTTTGTCATTATTTAAGAGTAGGTAATGTATATATGGGTGTGAGTGTTTAAGGAATTTGGGCCGGGCACGGTGGCTCACGCCTGTAATCCCAGCACTTTGGGAAGCTAAGGCGGGTGGATCACCTGACGTCAGGAGTTCAAGACCAGCCTGGCCAATGTGGTGAAACCTTGTCTCTACTAAAAATACAAAAATTAGCCTGGCATGGTGGCAGGCGCCTGTAATAGCAGCTACTCGGGAGGCTGAGGCAGGAGAATCGCTTGAACCGGGGAGGCAGAGGTTGCAGTGAGCCGAGATCGTGCCATTGCACTCCAGCCTGGGCAACAAGAGTGAAACTCCATCTCAAAAAAAAATTTTTTTTTAATTTAATTAATATATTTAAATTGATTACAAATAATTTAAATCGCGTCTTTGTAAAATGGCTTTTGTTTTGTTTTTGACTTTTATTCCAGGTTCTGAAGTACACATGCAGGTTTGTTACATGGATAAACTGCATGTCGCTGAGGTTTGGTGTACAAATGATCCCGTCACCCAGAAGAGTGAGCATAGTACCCAACAGTTTTTCAACCTTCATCCCCCTCCACCTCTCTGGTAGTCTGCAGTGTCTGCCGTTCCTATCTTTATGTTCATGTGTACTAAATGTTTAGCTGTCACTTATAAGTGAGAATCTGTGGTATTTGGTTTTCTGTTCCCGTGTTAATTTGCTTAGGATAATGGCCTCCAGCGGCAACCATGCTGCTGCGAAGGTCGTGATTTTGTTCTTTTTCGCGGATGCATAGTATTCTATATTGCATATGTATCACATTTGCTTTATCCAGTCCACCATTGATGGGCATCCAGGTTGATTCCACGTCGTTGCTATCATGAATACTGCTGCAATGAACATATGAGTGCATGTGTCTTTTGGGTAGTGATTTATTCTCCTTTGGGTATATACTCTGTAATGGGACTACTTGGTCAAATGGTAGTTCTAAGTTCTTTGAGAAATTTCCAAACTGCTTCCCACAGTGGCTGAACTGATTTACACTCCCACCAACAGAGTATAAGTCCCCTTCTCTCTGCAACCTCACTAACATGTTACTTTTTTGACTTTTTAATAATAGTCATTCTGACTGGTGTGAGATGGTATCTCATTGTGGTTTTGATTTGCATTTCATTAGTAATGTTGAGCATTTTTTCATTTATTTGTTGACCAAATGAATGTCTTATTTTGAAAAGTGTCTGTTCATGTCCTTTGTCCATTTATAAAATAGTTTTCTTAACCTTAGCCTTAGTGACTGCAAATTTTGCGGACTACAAAGTCACCCAAATGCATAATCTGAGTAAAATTTTAAGATGCCACGTCTCTGATAAATTTGGGTTATCAACAATAATTGTATTGCTCATTGATGCTAGCTTCAATATAATTTCTAAAATCCCAAGATGAATTTAGAACTTTTGACTAATATAATACTGATATCATTATCAGTATTATATTAATAGGTAATAGTCTATATCCGAAGATTTCCAAAGAAATTAGTTTCAACATCTATTCATGTTTTTAATGTAAAAACATGAATAATGTAACATTCACAATTTTTTAAGAGAATAATTCTTTTTTTATTTTATTATTATTATACTTTAAGTTTTAGGGTACATGTGCACAATGTGCAGGTTAGTTACATATGTATACATGTGCCATGCTGGTGTGCTGCACCCATTAACTCGTCATTTAGCATTAGGTATATCTCCTAATGCTATCCCTCCCCCCTCCCCCCACCCCACAACAGTCCCCAGAGTGTGATGTTCCCCTTCCTGTGTCCATGTGTTCTTATTGTTCAATTCCCACCTATGAGTGAGAACATGCAGTGTTTGGTTTTTTGTTCTTGTGATAGTTTACTGAGAATGATTTCCAATTTCATCCATGTCCCTACAAAGGACATGAACTCATCATTTTTTACGGCTGCATAGTATTCCATGGTGTATATGTGCCACATTTTCTTAATCCAGTCTATCGTTGTTGGACATTTGGGTTGGTTCCAAGTCTTTGCTATTGTGAATAGTGCCGCAATAAACATACGTGTGCGTCTTTATAGCAGCATGATTTGTAGTCCTTTGGGAATATACCCAGTAATGGGATGGCTGGGTCAAATGGTATTTCTAGTTCTAGATCCCTGAGGAATCACCACACTGACTTCCACAATGGTTGAACTAGTTTACAGTCCCACCAACAGTGTAAAAGTGTTCCTATTTCTCCACATCCTGTCCAGCACCTGTTGTTTCCTGACTTTTTAATGACTGCCATTCTAACTGGTGTGAGATGGTATCTCATTGTGGTTTTGATTTGCATTTCTCTGATGGCCAGTGATGGTGAGCATTTTTTCATGTGTTTTTTGGCTGCATAAATGTCTTCTTTTGAAAAGTGTCTGTTCATGTCCTTCGCCCACTTTTTGATGGGGTTGTTTTTTTCTTGTAAATTTGTTTGAGTTCATTGTAGATTCTGGATATTAGCCCTTTGTCAGATGAGTAGGTTGCGAAAATTTTCTCCCATTTTGTAGGTTGCCTGTTCACTCTGTTGGTAGTTTCTTTTGCTGTGCAGAAGCTCTTTAGTTTAATTAGATCCCATTTGTCAATTTTGTCTTTTGTTGCCATTGCTTTTGGTGTTTTAGACATGAAGTCCTTGCCCATGCCTATGTCCTGAATGGTAATGCCTAGGTTTTCTTCTAGGGTTTTTATGGTTTTAGGTCTAACATGTAAGTCTTTAATCCATCTTGAATTGATTTTTGTATAAGGTGTAAGGAAGGGATCCAGTTTCAGCTTTCTACATATGGCTAGCCAGTTTTCCCTGCACCATTTATTAAATAGGGAATCCTTTCCCCATTGCTTTTGTCAGGTTTGTCAAAGATCAGATAGTTGTAGATATGCGGTGTTATTTCTGAGGGCTCTGTTCTGTTCCATTGATCTATATCTCTGTTTTGGTACCAGTACCATGCTGTTTTGGTTACTGTAGCCTTGTAGTATAGTTTGAAGAAGTCAGGTAGTGTGATGCCTCCAGCTTTGTTCTTTTGGCTTAGGATTGACTTGGTGATGTGGGCTCTTTTTTGGTTCCATATGAACTTTAAAGTAGTTTTTTCCAATTCTGTGAAGAAAGTCATTGGTAGCTTGATGGGGATGGCATTGAATCTGTAAATTACCTTGGGCAGTATGGCCATTTTCACAATATTGATTCTTCCTACCCATGAGCATGGAATGTTCTTCCATTTGTTTGTATCCTCTTTTATTTCCTTGAGCACTGGTTTGTAGTTCTCCTTGAAGAGGTCCTTCACATCCCTTGTAAGTTGGATTCCTAGGTATTTTATAGCTTAATTCTTAAGTCATTTACACAGCCAGACTTTGTCATGTCCTGCACCTATGTAGTGTGGAAACTGCTCCTCCACCTGCCCAGCCCACTTCCCGCCTGGGTCTTTGCACCACCAACCTGCAGAGCCCAAGACACCAGCTGCCTCGTGATCCCCCAGGTGGTGACAGGTGCCACAACAGCTTCCTGTTTTCCTCCCCCAGGTGTTTAATTTTCTCCTCTAGAAAAGTATCAAACATGCACCAAGAAAATTTGAGAATTACAGAGAAGTATGATCTCCCCACTTTTAGCACATTGGGATAGTTCCCTATTGTCTTTTCAATGCATTTTTTTCTTAAGACAATCTGTAAATAATTGACCAACCATTTTTCTCACTATATTGTTAGCATCTATTGTCACTGGAAATTATTCCATAAATGATTAAATAGCAATAGCTATATTTCACTGTCTGGACAATTTACTTACCCAGTTGTCTTTTAGACCTGTTTTTTTTGTTTTTTGGGTTTTTTTTTTTTTTTTTTTTTTTTCTGGCAGCTTTTGAGCTCACCGGAAAAAAAAAATTAGACTTTGGCCAGGTATGGTGCTCCTCCCTGTGATCCCAGAACTTTGGGAGGCTGAGGCAGGATTCCTTGAGGCCAGGAGTTCAAGACCAGCCTGGTCAACATAGTGAGATCTAGTCTCTATTTGAAAAACTTTTTAAATAAATTTAAAAGTTAGACTTTTTTTTGGCTGGGCACGGTGGCTCACGTCTGTAATCCCAGCACTTTGGGAGGCCGAGGTGGGTGGATTGCCTGAGGTCGGGCGTTCGAGACCAGCCTGACCAACATGATGAAACCCTGTCTCTAATAAAAATACAAAATTAGCTGGGCGTGGTGGCACATGCCTGTAATCCCATCTACTTAGGAAGCTGAGGCAGGAGAATCGCTTGAACCCAGGAGGCGGAGGCTGCAGTGAGCTGAGATCACGCCATTGCACTCCAGCCTGGGCAAAAAGAGTGAAACACTGCCTTAAAAAAAAAAAAACAAAAAAAAAAAAATTTTTTTTCCAAGTCTAATGTGCCCACAAACATCTATCTCCAAGTATAAATATTTGTGTATATTTTTAAATTTTTCCTCAGGATAAATACCCATCTTGATATGGCACTTGATACAGTTCCCGATAAAGGCAGGCAGAGCCAGATGAAAAGCTTTAGAAACCCTAAGCACTGAAAAACTATCAAAATCCTTCCATGTAATTCATAATACAAAACAACCTAACAATTATATGGCACTGCACACTTTCCTTTGTAGTAGTAACAGGAGTAAAAATTCATGATTATCGACATCTCTTTCTCCTGCTAGCCCAGAGGCCCAGAGAACAGGGACCCTGTCTCCTGTGCTCTATCATTTTTAGAGGGATGAGCAGGTAACCAATATACCAGTGAGAATTTGAAAGGCAGAAACTGTTGAATCCCAGTCCTCCAAACGCCAACTCACCTTCTGCCATCCCAGCTTCATGACCAGCAGAACTCATACCCACATCAGTTCCATTTATTCTTCGTACAAATATTTTACAGTTTTATTTTTAAATCATTTACACATATTCATACAAAGAAAAATAAATTTCAGGATGGAATCCTGGGACCATGGTAGTTTAAAAAAAAAATCTCTCTGATCATTAGCTACTAAAGACAAGGCAAGAGGCTTAGCAGTCATTTCTGGGGGTTAGTGTATCTCCCCATGCAGGGGACAACTGAGAAGAATCCAAGCTGCTCCCTCATCTTCCTTCGATCTAGATGGGGGAAGGGGATTTTCCAATGCTCTCCCCTAGAAACATTTCAAGAAGTACAGCAAAGGCTTATGGTAACACTGAACCTATTTGCTAGAAATCTGGCAAGATTGCACTTTCTGAACCAATTTTCTATAACAGTTGGCTCAATTCCCATTCACAGGTGCTTCTAAGAGGATGAGGGATTGCCGCACTCACCATACCCCCTTCCCACTTGCTCTGTCCTCCCACCAACGTTCCTGAATAGAGCCCTTGATCTCTTCTGATCTAGTCCCTCCCCGCTCCCACCCAGCCTCATTTCACAAGCAAACCTTCCTCCTATGCCACACACCCAGACACTCTGTAGCAATTGGCCCTGGCAGCTCCTGAGGACCGCTGCAGTGATGACACAGGACTATTGCATCAGCATCGTGCTCACAGGGAATCAGAGCTCAGCCAGGAGAGGTCCAAGAATGACAGAACCATGAGCACTCCTACCAAAACTCAGCTCTGCTCAGCCAAATCAACAATTCAACCCAACAGGCCAACTCCTAACACATCCCATCCAGACAGACATTAGAGGCGCACAGCAGATGAACCTCCTACTTACACTGCCCAAGGAAGCTGGACTATCAATTCCCAGTAAAAGTGGGGGAAAGGACAGACATTACAGATGTGGTAGACCCTATCAGAAATGGCAGCTGATGATAACAGTTACCCTAAATCGTGGGGTCCTACCCAAAAAGCAGCACCAAGAAAGGGCATGATGAGCAGAGAGATCTGTAGCTGGATGTACAGCCCTTGAATTACCAAGGGACTCAGAGATGACACAGCTCATTTTCCTACAATTATGTAGGAACTAGAACACAGACTACCCACCCCTACGTTGAGGCAGCTCCTGAAAGGCCGTACCGCTTATGGTCATCAGCCCGCCCCCTTGGTAGGCCCATTTGGGGAGAGGGAATCACATCCAAAGCGGGGATCCCTCCAGGTGGACACTCACAGGGCAGCCCGTCCCACTGTCACTGGGGCAGGCCAAACATAGTTAGGAGGGTGGACAGATCCCGCGCGTCGGCTGCCCCATAGGCATCGCTCTGGCCTAACATAGACAATGCCAAACGCAGGGTGCTCCAGATGTTCTCCGACATGGCACCTCCTTCACCCCGGGGGCCCCGGCTTTTCCTCTGCATGTTCAGGGCCTCCAGAAAGTGCTCCACAGCCTCCCTGTAAGGAAGAAGAGGAATGAGAGCTGTTAAGCTGAACAACAATGGAAGGAAGCAGGTCAGCTAGCAGTGGGAGGGAGAAAGCTAGGGCTGGTTAGTCAAACAGGATCTAAGAATAAGGAGCTAGGGCCAAAGGCAGGGAGAAAAAGCTCATTCATTCATTTCTCAATAGATACTCTCACCGGTGAGCCCCGAGGTTGATGCAGCTGATGCCCAGGTTATAGCGGGACCGGATATAGCCAGGCTGGAGCTCGAGGGCCCGGCGGTACGCAGCTACTGCTTCTTCACTCTGGTTTCCATTGGCCAGGGTGGCGCCTAGCTTATTCCACAGCAAATAGTCCTGGGATAGGGATGCAGAACGGATGGGAACAGCTTGACTCAGCTCAAACTCTGCACATTACTCCACCGACTCAGCTCAAACTCTGCACATTACTCCAGCTGTTTCACTACTCTGTTAGCTAACATGTTTCGTCCCATTCCATTCTCAACAGTTCGGTGTGTGGCTACAATGTAGCCCCTCTCACCCTATGCAGACTCTCTTATGTCCAGATGACCCTACACTCCCAGCCTTCTTTTCCCAGTCCTCCCAAGGCAGTCAGTACATGGAACACTGGAATGAAATACCCCAAGACTCCAAAAGTCTGAACAAATTATTCTTTTTTGTGGGGGTGGGCAGGGTCTTGCTATGTTGCCCAGGCTGGATTTGAACTCCCAGGCTCAAGTGATCCTCCCACTTCAGCCTCCCAAGTAGCTGGGACTACAGGCATGCACCATCAAACCCAGCTTCCCAACAAATGGCTCTTCAATAAGGTACACAGTCATGTCCCATTTCCATTCCTCCCCTGGGCTCACATTGGGACGAACGCTGAGGGCAGCTGTGAAGCAGTCCACGGCCTTGTCATACTCCCCACTCAGGTTGAAAAGGACTCCCAAGCCACACTGCACATCAGGGTCAATGGAGGTAGGGTCCAGCCGCACAGCTGCCAGGAAGAGCTCTTTCACTTCAAGAAACAGGGAGCTGGATGAAAAGGAAAAAAACACAAAGTAGGTAGATGAATGTCTCTATTCCCATCCCCCCAAATTAATTTCTTCATTGATCAACCATATCCCCAACATTCATCAATCTATCAGTCATCTCTTCTACTCTCAAAGTCCAATATAGAAGCCTGTTTTTCTATTTCATCCTAGCACTGAACTGTAGAATGCAGACCTCCTTCAACTTGATCCTAGGTTTCCCATCCCATTCTCAGGACCCTTCAGTCTCAATCCATCCAAACTTCCAAAACCAAGGTCACCCTCCTACTGGGACTTAGGTTACTGTAATTCCTCATCCTAGGAACCCCTCATACTCACTCAGACAAGAGAGATCCCAGGATACGCTTGCTGGGGCCCAGTCCTGCCCCACCAGCCCCTTCTTCAGCAGGTGTCACCAGATGGGCATAGGCTGGTGTGTACCGCAGCCAGTCTCGTAGGGTTTCACAGGCCTGTCGCTGCAGGGACTCGTTGGTGAAGCTCACAGCCAGCGCCATCAGTGCTGTCTGGTTATCTGGCTTTAGCTCCAGACACCTGTTTGATCAGGGATGGGCAGACTTGATATCTGCAATGACTGACACTGGCACATGTGAGCACCCTGGGATCCAAGCCAAGCTTTGAAATGCAGAGTCACAATGGCCTCACCTGTGACTCCTCTGACATGAGTTAATAATAAAGTTACAGATCTAAGGGGAAGGTTTTAGCAGGCAAGGAGCCAACCAAAGCCGCAAATAAAATCAAAAGCCGATGAAGGAATGGAATTCACTCCAACCCTCAGAGTTTCAGCATGAGAAAACACTCTTGATAGCACTCAGAAAGAAGACAAGGATCCAGGTCTGGGCTTCTGTCATTCAAAAGGTTATATGCAGAGCCTTGGAAGCACCTCACCCACACCTTTCAGTGTACTCACCTCCGCAATGCACTGATGGCTAATAGTTCTTGTTCATTCTCTGCCTGGGTGGTACCCAGATACTGCCAAGCCTAGAGGGAAGTTGACAGATTCCATCACCCCATATTCACCTCTCCATTCGCCCTTCCCCCTGGCTTCTCCCACTCACCATCTCGCTCTCAAGCCCCTATCCTAGGCCATCACCCAGGCCCTAACCCATCTGCACTACTCTCCTTGGGGCCTTTCTCAAGATGGAGGAAGCAGTCTCTAGCCAGAAATGAGACTATGGAGTCACTCACTTCCATGTGCTTAGGATCCTGCTGCACAGCTGCCTCAAAAAGCAGCACAGCATTTGGCAGGTCCCCCTCCTGAAGGCGCCGCAGCCCTTCTTCAAAAGGCTGAGGGTGATCACGCAAGGGGTTCTCCTCCTCAAACTGGTACCCCTACAAGAAAAGCACGTGAGAGATGGACTGAGAGGTGGCACCGTCAGAACAGCAGGGATGTGAGGATGACAACCAGCAGGCAGAGAAGCTGAGGGCCTCCAAACAGGTTCCGGAATTAATTGCTGGCAAATTCTCCATATTATAAAGATCATGTATGACACAAGTAAAATCATTTGGTATCAGGTTTGTGCTCCCATCTCCTGTTCATGATACCTGGGAAGCTAGGAAAGTCTACAAATTCATCTGCGCTGGAAATAAGCTTATTTTAGGAAGTCATCACAGGCTTGTATTCCCACACCTTGACTTCTCACCACGGGGCAGAATGTCTCAACAGGATCTGCTTATAGTAATGAGACAAAGTGTCCCTAGCTATGCAAAGTGCATTTCTTGTTATCCTTCAATAATGTGATGATGTATAAAGGAAATGTTGTTTGGAGTCCTGCTATTCAAATATAACTCTTACTTAGCTCAGAGTCATTCCACATGTCAACTAGATAAAACATTTTCAAGCATTTTGAAAATGTTAATTTATTCCCCGATTTCATTCTTAATAATCATGAATATTAATCTGTATCTGACAGTAAGCAAAAGCTGGATCCCAAAATCCAGATGGCAGAGAATACTTCAGAAAGACACCATTCTCTTCCAGCTGAGGATTTCTCACTTTAGAGAAGAGTTACGATACTATCTGCAAAGCTTTGTCAACTGGCATTTTACACTAGGCAGAGAAGAAATGAGGTAAAGGGGAAGTCACTAGTAAGCTGCAAAATCTGGGACATGCAAATAAAAAGTCCGTTTTTGGAGAGTAGTTACCATCATAAAATAATACACCAGAACGAAAACAAGATGCAAAACAACAGGTGGAGGTCTTTCTAAATGCAGTTAAGAATAAATTCAGATAAAACTGTACAAAATAAAGACATGAGGCCCTTTTTCATTATTATTGTGAAAATGATAAAGAATCAAAAACACTTAAATCTTACCAGCAAAATTCTAAGTCATGATCAGATGCAAATTATTTGTCACAAATGAAAATTAAATAATTACAATGGGGGGTTTAAGAAGAAAGACATATTATAGTAGATTTGAGATAAATGTATAGAAAGTATATTTATATTGAAAACAAGTGTGTTTTTGGACATCTCTGCATAATATAAAAACTAAGAAGGCAGAAAATGACGCTAGTCCAGTGATCAGCAAACTTTTTCTGCGAAGGGCCAGATAATAAATATTTCAGGCTTCGTGGATCTGCTGCAACTACTCACCTCTACTGTTGTAGTGCGAAAGCAGCCAGACATAAGTAAACAAATGAGCACGGCTGTCTTCCAATAACATTTTATTTATGGACACTAAAATTTGAATTTTATATAATTTTCACTTGTCACAAAGTATTACTCTTTTGATTTTCTCCAACCATTTAAAAATGTTAAAACCATCCTCAGCTAGTGGATCACTAAAAACATAAAGATTTATCCCACAAGCCAGTGTGCTGGCCCTTGCCCTAGACTATTACAGTTCAATAAAATAAATCCTTCTGCATTCAACCTCAACTATTGTTCATCATTAATACGTGTTTTAAGCCACTCTACAGAAAACAGAGATTACTGTCATCTATAATGCAGTTTCCTAATAAAAGTAATTCCTGCCTCTCAGAGCCATTGAGAACATCAAATGGGAATCTTCACCAACGCCTTACCAAAAAGCTTAAGATACTATCTGTAAATAGCTATTATCCTCACTGCTCTAGATACTTCCTTAAGATATGATGGCCTGTATATGACAGCCAGAAGTGATGCGAATGCTCTTCAGGTGTCTTCATTAGATAATACAACAACTCAATGCCACCATCTTGCAACCACAGGATTCTCTAAGTTTCCTCTCATCCATATTATCTACCCTCCTTGAAGTCTCATCAATTGCTGATCAAAGAGGAATTTTCCAAAATTAGAATATTTGCATAGATGATGGAAAAAGAGTACTCTGGGGGATCCCTCAACAACCCACAGAACACAGGATAAGCTTGGCTTCACTGTTACATCCTGAAAAGCCAAACCCAAGTCATTAATTTTATCTGATACACGGTCTGGTCTGCTCCAAAATCTCATAGGATCAAACTGCAGAAATGATCACTACAAAGAGTTTGTCCCATCACATACTTCTCTTTTATCATAATAGTATATTAATATCTGCCTGAGCTGCAATGTAAATTGTCTCTGAAAATATAAGGGCTATCAATAAACAAACAGTGCATTCAAAGAGATCCATGAATTTATGTAACAATCAAGAGTCAAGTCCTTTGTTTTTAAAAAGTTCTATTGACATGGAATTCAATATTAGCTTAAAGCCAGATACTGTCTAATTGCTTACTACATCACTTTTTGAGGAACATTAATGCAAGTATTTCTAGTCCTAATTTTGCAATATCCCAAAGTATCAATGATATCAAGTAGGGCTCAAGAATCTACAAACATACTTTTAAAGTTTTTAATTAAAAAATGTATTCTGGATATGACACCAAAAGCTCATATCCCAAAAATCATTGCAAAGACTAATGTCAAGAAACTTTCTCCCTATGTTTTCTTCTAGGCATTTTACGGTTTTGGGTACTGCATTTGGGTCTTTAAGCCATTTTGGATTAAGTTTTGTACATAGTGTGAGGTAACGGTTCAGTTTCACTCTTTTGCACATGGATATGCAGTTTCTCCAATACCATTTATCGAAAAGACTATCCTTTCCACATTTCTATTCTTGGAACCTGATCAAATGTGATTTTTTTTCTAAAAAAAAATTTGCTTTCTAATTTGTCACATTGTTCTATGTGTCTGAAAAAAAAAAATGTATTCTGGCCAGCATGTCATAAATACGAGAGTAATAAATGATAAAAGAAAATGCTGCTCATACAAAACTAGTATTATGTCTATATGTATGAAAAGCATGGACATTTTTACATAAATGTACAACTTTCCATTTATAAGTTGATGGGGCCTATGTGACTTATCAAATTGTTAATACAAAATAATAACAAAAGTGTTATCTATATTTCCTTCAGTTCTTCCTTATCAAAATTATATACAATGAACTCATAGTCTAGTGAAATACATGGCAAGGTCCCAGCTGTCTTTTCCCTTATATCACACAGGATAGTTAGAAAAATCCAGATCAGACTGGAATAATAAGCAAAATCATATTTTTCCTAATACTGTTCTTCACTGGCTCTCAAACTCTAGCCTTTTTCTGAACTGCATCTTCCCATCTTTGCATAGCTCCCTTATTACATCAAGATCCATCTCCAGCACCCTGGTTTGCATCTCAGGCCCTGGTTCCAGCCCCACAATACTTTCCCAACCAGATCTGAACTGAGAAAAAGACATCACTACTCACATCCCCAGTTCCTGTTTTGCCTTTTTTCAAAACCAAGTGATTCTTTCCCCTCTTCATGTTTCAACTCAGGAGCTCAGTTATTAAACACATCCCCAAATATCCTACAACCCACAGGTAGATTTGTTTTTCAGTAAGACCCCAGAAGTAACATATGCTTCTAAGTCAACAGCACATGCTATAGGCAAAATGCAATCATCTTTCATACTACTAAGAAATTTCCCTAATATTTAAGTTATCTAATATAAATTCTTTGAAAACCCTAAATTAGGGCAAGTGGCTACTACCTATAAAAGATAAGAACTTAAAATGAATATGTGAGTTTAAAAAGTAAACAGATATTAAGATGTGGAGGCAAAGGGATAGTCTGTCCACTAACACTCCCCACCAAAGGAGTCAGCAGTCTTCTCAAAAAGCTCCCAATCTGACCTCCAAGCAGAGCTACTTCCTCTGTGCTTTTAATGCAGCAAGCATGTGCAAACCTCCTTCACAGGTGTTATGTACTGGACTGTCGTTATTGACAAAGATAGTCTCATTAACATCTATATCCCAAGAATAAAGTTTATACTCAATCACTGAAGAGGAAGGGCAAGGGAATTATTCAGACTTCTTTTCGTGGAAAGGGACTCAAGAAAATACTTAAAAGCACCCTTCAAATTCAGGATTAAAGGAAAGACGTTAAAAAGAAGGAAGTTCTGGAACCTGAAAAACTAAGAGTTTTTACCTCACCTTATCATAGGTAGCTGACGTAAGGTCATCATAGTCAGAAAGCCAGGGGTGGGCCTCAGCATCCCGTTTTGCCATCTCCTCCAACTCTGCCTGCAACTTGTCCCAGAAATCGACATCAGACTGTAAGGAAGGGAAAGCAGATAGAAAAAGGAGATCCATCATGACCACCCCACCCCACACTCAGCTCTGCTGGGATTCTCTAAGGCAGCAGTTCTTGAATTTCAATATGTTTAAGAATCATCTGAATAAGTTTTTTAAAATGCAAATGGCCAGATGCTATCCCCAGATACTGATTTAGTAGTCTGGGGTGATGGCCAGAAATGTAATGTAGTGCAGTGCAGTGCAGTGCAGTGCAGTGCAGTGCAGTGCATAGTTTAGTTTAGTTTTTTGTTTGAGACAGAGTTTCACTCTCGTTGCCCAGGCTAGAGTGCAATGGCGTGATCTCATCTCGTTGCAACCTCCACCTCCCAGTTTCAAACATTTCTCCTGCCTCAGCCTCCCAAGTAGCTGGGATTACAGGCATGCGCCAACACACCACGCTAATTTTGTATTTTTAGTAGAGACATGGGGTTTCTCCATGTTGTTCAGACTGGTCTCGAACTCCTAACCTCAGGTGATCCACCCACCTCGGGCTCCCAAAGTGCTGAGATTACAGGCATGAGCCACCATGCCTGGCCCAGAAATCTGCATTTTTCAACAGCACCCACCCCATCCCCAAGCAACTCTGACACAGATGATCCAGGTCCACTATGAAATACAATTTGCATCATCTTTGATGTTCATACACCCACTCACTCCAAGGAGTGTTTTCTTTTGGGGTGTCTGCTCCTGCACTATCTGCTCTCACCTCTATAGCTGACTTGGCTCGTTCAAACTCCATATCAAGGGCAGATGTGTTTACTGGTCTTGTGAACTGGTCAACCCAGGCATCTGATGTACCCTGCGACAAAAAAGGATGGTCAGTACCACTACCACCAACTTTCTATCCATCAGACGCACACTAAATACCCACTAACCACCACCAACCTGGGTACTTCTGAGAAAATCATTCTCAGAATCTCTTTCCCACCCACTTGGGACCTGGATGCTATCAAGACAAGCTGGTCTTATCCTTCCCCATCTGGGACCACTGACCACTGAACCCATGGCCTGGGGCATCAGCTGGCTCTGAAGTGGGACTGGAAAGTGACAATGTCCTACCTGCTGCTGTATAAACTCTGCTGCCCACTGTTCTGCCTGAGCTCGGCCCGACCCTGCACCGGACTCCAGGGACACCTGCCCTTCGCCAATCTGCCGCACGAATTTCAGGAACTGGGGCACAGAGACACACACAGGCCACTTGGGAAAGGACTTCCAGGTGTGCACTCTCAACCATGCCCAAGAGGACCCTGTACTCACCCCTCCCCTGACCATCTCTAGCTGCAGACAAGATATGCTAAAGACCCTAAAAGAGGTAGAGAGCAAAAAGAAAGGGATTTCTGGCTCTAAAGACTTGCAAAGGCATCAGAAAAAAGAGTTAGTAGGCAAGGAGATGAGGGAATGAACACTAGAAGGAAGAGGCAGGATCTTAAGTCTCTGTTCTATAGACAGGAACGAAGAGACCTAAGATCTCTTCTCCTTCTCTTTAAACTAAACTGGGGTAAGAAAAGCAAGATTCTTGCCTTCCAAAACCAGCTCTGCTGGGCAAAGCAGCAGAGGGATGTGGCTCACCTCAGAATTAGCCAATTTGGGGTCATCCACTTTGGCCACAAAGTCACTGGCCGTGTGCTGCAGATCCTCCTCAGGATGATATTCATCATACCTGGAACGGGTAAGAACTAATTTTACACATTAGTCTGCCATCACCCTCCCCATGCTACTCCCCACTCCTAGCCCATGACAATGACAGTTCCTGTGAGGGAACTCCATTCTCCTGTTGAGAACCTACAAACTCCAATTTGCATTATAGAAGGACATTTGGGCAGGAGTGTGAAAGTACTAGCTACATCCTTCTAGCTCTCCCTTTCCCAAACATATCTTTGCATACAGATGGGATAGTAGCAGGCTCAAAATTAAGAAGGGAACAAGGTAAAATTATGAACTTTAAGATGAAGTTATGAACGTCATATAGGATAGTTAGGATTCTTGAAAAATATATATATATTTACCTATATACATATATTTTAAAAGTCTGAAAACTCCCTTCCTCCCAAATATAGCTGATATGTATATATACGTGTATGTGTGTATGTATATACATGTGTATGTGTATGTGTGTATACATGTATGTCTATGTGTGTGTATACATGTGTACGCATGTATCTACATGTTTACATATGTATACGTGTGTATATACATGTATGTGCACATGTATGTGTATGTATGCGTGTGTACATATGTGTATGTGTGTATATATGTGTGTGCGTGTGTGTGTGTGCACGCACACATGCATGCGCTTTTGGTTTTTTAAAGACAAGGTCTTACTGTGTTCCTCGGGCTAGACTTGACCTCCTGGGCCCAAGCAATCCTCCCACCTCAGCTTCCTGAGTACAGGCACACAACCACTGTGTCCTTGACTACATTTCAACCATAAATTCACAGGAGTAATAACCCAAGGGGAAATCTTAAAGAATAAAGTAAGCCCTCTCCCTCTCCCTCTCCCTCTCCCTACGGTCTCTCTCCCCCTCTCTTTCCACGGTCTCCCTCTGATGCCGAGCCGAAGCTGGACTGTACTGCTGCCATCTCGGCTCCCTGCAACCTCCCTGCCTGATTCTCCTGCTTCAGCCTGCCGAGTGCCTGCAATTGCAGGCACGCGCCGCCATGCCTGACTGGTTTTCGTATTTTTTTGGTGGAGACGGGGTTTCGCTGTGTTGGCCGGGCTGGTCTCCAGCTCCTAACCGCGAGTGATCCGCCAGCCTCGGCCTCCCGAGGTGCCGGGATTGCAGACGGAGTCTCGTTCACTCAGTGCTCAATGGTGCCCAGGCTGGAGTGCAGTGGCGTGATCTCGGCTCGCTACAACCTCCACCTCCCAGCCGCCTGCCTTGGCCTCCCAAAGTGCCGAGATTGCAGCCTCTGCCTGGCCGCCACCCCATCTGGGAAGTGAGGAGCGTCTCTGCCTGGCCGCCCATCGTCTGGGATGTGAGGAGCCCCTCTGCCTGGCTGCCCAGTCTGGAAAGTGAGGAGCGTCTCTGCCCGGCCGCCATCCCATCTAGGAAGTGAGGAGCGCCTCTTCCCAGCCGCCATCCCATCGAGGAAGTGAGGAGCGTCTCTGCCCGACCACCCATCGTCTGAGATGTGAGGAGCGCCTCTGCCCCGCCGCCCCGTCTGGGATGTGAGGAGCGCCTCTGCCTGGCCGCGACCCCGTCTGGGAGGTGAGGAGCGTCTCTGCCCGGCCGCCCCGTCTGAGAAGTGAGGAGACCCTCTGCCCGGCAGCCGCCCCGTCTGGGAAGTGAGGAGCGTCTCCGCCCGGCAGCCACCCCGTCCGGGAGGGAGGTGGGGGTCAGCCCCCCGCCCGGCCAGCCGCCCCGTCCGGGAGGGAGGTGCGGGTCAGCCCCCCGCCTGGCCAGCCGCCCCGTCCGGGAGGGAGGCGGGGGGTCAGCCCCCCGCCCGGCCAGCCGCCCCGTCCAGGAGGGAGGTGGGGGTCAGCCCCCCGCCCGGCCAGCCGCCCCGTCCGGGAGGGAGGTGGGGGTCAGCCCCCTGCCCGGCCAGCCGCCCCGTCCGGGAGGGAGGTGGGGGTCAGCCCCCCGCCCGGCCAGCCGCCCCGTCCAGAAGGTGAGGGGCGCCTCTGCCCGGCCGCCCCTACTGGGAAGTGAGGAGCCCCTCTGCCTGGCCACCACCCCGTCTGGGAGGTGTACCCAATAGCTCATTGAGAACGGGCCATGATGACAATGGCGGTTTTGTGGAATAGAAAAGGGGGAAAGGTGGGGAAAAGATTGAGAAATCCGATGGTTGCTGTGTCTGTGTAGAAAGAAGTAGACATGGGAGACTTTTCATTTTGTTCTGTACTAAGAAAAATTCTTCTGCCTTGGGATCCTGTTGATCTATGACCTTACCCCCAACCCTGTGCTCTCTGAAACATGTGCTGTGTTCACTCAGGGTTAAATGGATTAAGGGCGGTGCAAGATGTGCTTTGTTAAACAGATGCTTGAAGGCAGCATGCTCTTTAAGAGTCATCACCACTCCCTAATCTCAAGTACCCAGGGACACAAACACTGCGGAAGGCCGCAGGGTCCTCTGCCTAGGAAAACCAGAGACCTTTGTTCACTTGCTTATGTGCTGACCTTCCCTCCACTATTGTCCTATGACCCTGCCAAATCCCCCTCTGCAAGAAACACCCAAGAATGATAAAAAAAAAAAAAAAAAAGAATAAAGTAAGTTGGTTCGAGAACGTGGATGGAGGAGGCTGGGAAAACTGTCCATACTCCTTTCACGGGATTCGGAAAGAGGTATCTGAACTCACCAGCGATCGGTGGCTGTTCCCTCAGGTTCTCCCAGCCACAGCTTCTCCTCTGATTGCTCCAAATATTCCTCAGCCCAGCGGGCAGGGGACACAGACAAGGGGTCTGCAAGGAGCAGAGAAGTGGGGAAATCACACAGGTTCATTCAGTGTGGGATCAAGGAAAGGGAAAGAGATGCCCATATTCAACTGACCCTCTTAGCCACACCAAAGCAGACAAAACTCTGCTGACTCCCTCAGAAACCCCTGGTCAAAAGAATATAGTACTAAATTTTCAACATCCTCAATATCCAACCCATTCTCAAGGAGCCTGGGGCAGAAATTTACTGAGAGTTGGGAACGGGAGATCAAATAAGGAATCTCAGGAAAGGATTAAGAACCAAACTCTTTTTCTTGAAGTGCAAGATATTTCAATAAGAAATAGGAAGCGGAAGGGCTTTCACTTTCCTCAGAAGTACAGCAGGGAGCCAGTAAGGAGTGAAGGGAGCACAGAAGGGCTCCTGTTCCTTAACCAAGGCACTGGTCTGTTCTCCCTCTACCCAGAGTTCACACAATCCCGGCCAAAGGAGCCTTATTTCATTGTAATTTGCCTACCAAGAGAATCAGAGAAGTGGAATGCTAGGCTAGAATTAAAGACACATAGGTCTGCTCTTCCCTATGGATGTTTGGTGGGTTTTTTCATTTTTTAATTGAAATGTAATATACAAATATGAAACCATATAATGTCTACCAAACTTAAGTGTACAGCTAAATTAACTTCCACATTTGATACACTCACATAACCACCACCCGGATCAAGATACAGAACGTTTACAGTTCCCTCACAGGCTCCCTCAGTCTCCCAGCCCCCAGAAGTAAACACTATTCTGACTTTTCTCACTTTTGATTATCTTTGAGTAGCTATGTTTTTTCAGTCTAATTTTAGAAACTGTCTCAGAAGCTCTAGTGACAAAGGGGACTGCTGCAACATCAGAATTAACCTATCAAGGCAACAAACTCAATGAGGGTGCTGAACTGTTTTTCATCCTCCAGGACTTTGCCCTTTACTATCCTGTGGCCAGAAAAAAAAAACAAGGAGACTGACTGCGGGCACTAAAGAACACAAGGAAACAAAGAGAAGGCACAAGCCTACGGTGTTCTTTCCTTCTGCCCTGTGTCCAGAACTAATCTTACTAGTTAGTCTGCCACCACCTTCCCCTGCTATTCCCCACTCCTGGCCCATGACAAGGACAGTTCCCAAGGGGGAACTCCACTCTCTTGTTGAGAACCTACTAACTCCAATTTGCATTAAAGAGGGACATTTGGGCAGGGGTGTGAAAATATTAGCTGATACTAGCAGTCTTTGTCCCCAGTTTCAAGATCTGACCACCCTTGCTTTTACTACCCCTTCGGTATTAAAGTACAAAAACTTCTACTCCATTTTAACTGAAACTTTGCCTGAATAATGTCAACAAAGTAGTCTCAAAATCTGAGCATGAAATGTCAAAATGTGAAAAACAAAGATCAAGACTCTCAGAATACACCTAATTATAAATAATAAGTAATTACTACTTATTATATTATATATAACATATATAATTACATTATATATAACATATAATTATTACATTATATATAACATATATAATTATTATATTATATATAACATATATAATTATTACATTATATATAACATAATTACATTGTATATGACATATAATTACATTGTATATGACATATATATAATTATTACATTGTATATGACATATATAATTATTACATTGTATATGACATATATAATTATTACATTGTATATGACATATGATTACATTATATATGACATATATAATTATTACATTATATATGACATATATAATTATTACATATGACATATAATTATTACATATGACATATATAATTACATTATATATGACATATATAATTACATTATATATGACATATATAATTACATTATATATGACATATATAATTATTACATTATATATGACATATATTATTACATTATATGACATATATAATTACATTATATGTGACATATATAATTACATTATATGTGACATATATAATTACATTATATGTGACATATATAATTACATTATATGTGACATATATAATTATTACATTATATGTGACATATATAATTATTACATTATATGTGACATATAATTATTACATTATATGTGACATATAATTATTACATTATATGTGACATATATAATTATTACATTATATGTGACATATATAATTATTACATTATATGTGACATATATAATTATTACATTATATGTGACATATATAATTATTACATTATGTGACATATATAATTATTACATTATATGTGACATATATAATTATTACATTATATGTGACATATATAATTATTACATTATATGTGACATATATAATTATTACATTATATGTGACATATATAATTATTACATTATATGTGACATATATAATTATTACATTATATGTGACATATATAATTATTACATTATATGTGACATATATAATTATTACATTATGTGACATATATAATTATTACATTATATGTGACATATATAATTATTACATTATATGTGACATATATAATTATTACATTATATGTGACATATATAATTATTACATTATATATGATGTAATTATTACATTATATATGACACATAATTATTACATTATATATGGCACATATAATTATTACATTATATATGACACATATATGTATGACACATAATTATTACATTATATATGTCATATATAATTAAATTATATATGACATATATAAATTATGACATATATAATTAAATTATATATGACATATAATTAAATTATATATGACATATATAAATTATGACATATATAATTAAATATGACATATAATTAAATTATATATGACATATATAATTATTACATAACATATATTACATTATATATAATATATAATGTAATAAATACATTATATGTAACATATGTAATAAGAAATACATTATATATAACATAATGTAATAAGAAATACGTTATAACATAAGAAATACATTATATATACATTATATATAATGTAAAATGTATATATAATATATATAATATATAATGTATAATGTAATAAGAAATATGGTTGGCAATTTTTTTTGACCATAGATCCATCTGTTAATTTCAAGGACTCTCAAAAATTAAATACAGATTCTGCTCACTAGCTCTTACAGGAAGCATTTCTCTTCCATTTGCCCCAATTAGACTGTTGCCTCAAGTGTGGAGACGGAAAGGAGATGCTTAATACTCAAAGAGACTTTAAGATCTCCTAGTTCCTTAGTTCCATTCTTAGTTGAAATTCTTAGCTCCATTCTGTTGAAAAATAACTACTACCTCCTCAACTCTCCAAACACTTCTAACTCTCAACTAGAGTATTTTGCAAAAGCATATTCTGGCCATAAGTGCTCCTCAAATTCACAGAAAACATTTCAAATTCCTATGAAATGGTCCTCTCAAGGACAAAAAAAAAAAAACAGAAAAAACACAAAGCACCTTTGAATTTTTACAACAGACATGAGGACTTAACAATAGATATGAGGCAGTTTAAGAAAAAAAATCCCAGAGCTGAGAAAAACTATCCTCAAATACCTATAATTTGGTAGTTGGCCAGATTAAATCGCCACAAGACCCAGAATTTCTTGGCATTGGGAACCTACTCCAACAAGAGTCAAATAACCGAAAGAATCAAAAGAGTAACACACTGCCTTCACAATCTTTGAGAAATTCCTACAGAAAATCAGATCCATGTGGATACATCTGAGATCAAGGCAACTAAGGTCTACAGAGGGGATGCACTGCCTGAGGTCATACAGATTAGTAGAGTGAGAATAACCTAGACACCAAATACCCCACTCAAAATGTGCACCTCATATAATTTCTCGTTGTTTACTCATTCCTTCTAGGCACATCTTCCCCAAGCTCAAAAGTCAAAAACTCAGAACTTGCTACTCTTACTCATGAAAGTTTCTGTGTCTGCTAAATAGCAGCACTGTGGAGAAGAATACAAGTTGTAGGGTCAGTCTACCCACATTTAAATCCTAACTCCATCACTTATTCACTGTGCATCTTCAGACTAGTTACTCAACCTTCTTAAGTTTCCATGTCCTTATCTTTAAAGCAGAGATAACAGTAGGGGCTGCGGTGAAAACCAATGAATACAGTAACAAATGTTAGTTATTATCATTAGTCTGCTCATGGCAAACCTATAACAAAAGCAGAAAACATCACAATGAGACTGTTATTCCAAAGCCTCTCCTCCAACATCCAGAAAAGATCTGTTGCCAATTATCTTCTGCTACTGCTATCCATGGCTTTTCCCATGAAAGTGCAGGTTTATCTCTCACGATTATCATATGAACCTCACATACCATGTCAACCGAAGCTGTCTAAATTTAAGAACCCTGAAGATGTGTTTTATCTCTAGATCTGAGCAAACACAAGATGGAGAATTATTTGACCCAGAAGATTTAAGACGGGGGGATTCCATTACAAAATAAGGTAAGCTAAAAAAATGAACTTCATGTGGTGAGAGAATAGTTCTGTATCTTGATCATGATGGTGCTTACACAAATCTACACATTTAATAAAATTGCAAAAAACACACACACACAAATAAGGGCATGTAAAACTGGTGAAACCTAATAAACTCTGAGGATTGAAACAAGGGCAACTTCTTGATTTTTGATCTCTGCATAACTGCTATGTAAAATGTTACCACTGGAGGAGACTGGGTGAAGGGTATACAGAACCTTCCTATACATTTTTTTTTTCAACTTCCAGTGAAACTAAGTACTTCCAAATAAAAAATTTAAATTTAAATAATTGAGCTGCAACATTCTTTTTAAACTTGATTTTGACTCTTAACAGTGGAGATTTTAAAATAAGAACTTAAAAAGTATAACCTTCTTTCATCTCAAAATCTACTTATCTATAAAGCCATAGCTAACCCATACAATTGTATCAACCACAAATGCTGTAATTAAAAATGAAGGATAATAAAAAAAAGTCAGTTACGACAAAATGAACTCCTTTCCTTTAGCTTTTTCTCCCAGATCTCAATTCATTCATTCAATACCAGAGGCCTACTACATGCAAAGCAATATACTGCTGCAATAAGACATTTTTATGAAGGCAGACTTCAAACAGCTCAACTCCCATTCTAAGGTTTGCATGTCTCTGCCTCTGTGAAACAGGCACGATTCCAAAAGAATCTACAAAATACTAGAAGAGCTCTACTAAGAGCATTTAACTGGTGAGACAGATAAAACATGTTTTTCTAAAGTTCTTTTTCATTTCAAGTTAAGGAAGATTTCAATGGCTGCATGCAATTCAGGTAATTACAGCAAAAATTTCATCCATCTCAACGCTCATAGTAGCAATGATTTTTCTGAATTATCAAAAATGACTAATGCCCACATTACAACAGAAGCCTCTCTGTGATAAGAGATAGCACTTAAGTCTAAGGTTTATGTGAAAAACTGAGTTTCTGTCTTGGAGAGGGTCTTTGCTATGGTTCAGATTTTAACTTGCGGCAATTTCACAAAGAATCTCAACGTGAGGGCGCGTGCGGTGGCTCACGCTTGTAATCCCAGCACTTTGGGAGGCTGTGGTGGATTACTTAAGGTCAGGAGTTCAAGACCAGCCTGGCCAACATGGTGAAACCCTGTCTCTACTAAAAATACCAAAATTAGCCGGGCATGGTGGCACACGCCTGTAGTCCCAGCTACTCAGGAGGCTGAAACGGGAGAATCCCTTGAAGCCAGGAGGCAGAGGTTGCAGTGCGTACAGATTGCACCGCTGCACTCCACCCTGGGTGAGAGCAAGACCCTGTCTCAAAAAAAAAAAAAAAAAAAGAATCTCAAGAGCCACACAGACATGAGTTTGAATATCATCTCTATTATTCAATGATTTTGCACAAAGTATTTAACTTTTCCAAATCTCAGTCTCCTCATCTATAAAATGGGGGTGGGATATCCACCTTGTGTTACTGTTACTGTGAAGTTCTAATGAGCTTAAGAAGATAAAGTGATTAGCACTCTTAAAGCCAAGAGCACCTACTGTTCTACCTTAACTCCAACTTATGGGTGGGAAAGAGACACGTGATAAAAGAGACCCACAGATCTTATTAAAGGTGAGTTTTAGTTTTTAGATTTGGGATTTTTCTCTTGTGTGCGGAGAAGCCCATCCTAAACATGGGCCTCCTTCACACACATTTGTCCCTGATCAGATAGGCTTCGGGTAAGAAGAATCAATCCTAAAGGATGCGAGGAGCAATGGATGCTCTCAAGGAAAATTAGACTTGAGACCTTGAAATCTGTAGCAAACGAAGAAAGAACATAAATTAAAATGGTGGGGGTAGAAACCAATTCAGTCCCTTTAATCATCTCAGAAAAATTCAGGAACCATGATGATGTGACTCCCCGAGATCCTGGAACTTGGTAACTTTCTCTATGTGTATCTCTTGTTATTCTTGATATCTTAAACAGGAAAAAGGCTAACTTTTGAGAGCAATCAGGAAGAGGAAAGCTGAAGAGACTGCCCTTCCCACCATGTACCTGATTAGATAGGCTTAGGGCAAGAAGAATCAATCATAAAAGATGCAGGAGCAATGGATGCTTTCAAAGAGGAAAAATTAGGCTGAAACCTTTAAGTCTGTAGCAAAGCAAGAAAGAAGATAAATTGCAGGCCTGACAGTATAGCATCACAGTTAAGGCCACAGGGTCAGGAATCATTCAAATCCAGGATCAAATCCCAACTCTACCACTGACAAAGCTGTGTAACCTTGGGCACACTTCACCTCTAAGCCTCAATTTTCTTATCTTTAAACTAGGTCTAAAAACAGTAACTACCTCTAGGGTTCTCATGGAGAGTAAGTAGATAATGCATTCAAAGCATGTAACACAAGGCCTAGAACGTAACTATTGTTATTAATTTTTATTATCATCATCATGGTATGGTCTTTACCTTCTAAAGCCATACACTTCAGGCACTGGAACTTCACAATAACACTCTGAAGGCCCCAATTCTGTTCCAAATAACTTAAGGCCAGAATCCCAGGTGCTGTAGTGAATACTCTCTTCCTCGGCAACACTGCCATCCATCCAATCTGTAGATCCTCTCCACTAAACCACAGTGATAAAGTAAAAAGGCCAACCAAACTCTTCGTTCTCTCTATCCAAAATCTCTTATCCAGTACAAACCCAGTCCTCTCTTTAATATACATTACATTCCGTTATCACCTAAGGGAAATTGAGTTCAGTACCCTACCCCTCTAGAAATGAGTCATGAGACCAGAAAAATCGTAATCACACTATAACGTGAACAGGGGAAGGGTATAGAATTCTGTCCCATAGAAGCCAATATAGATTTTCCCATAACAAGTTTCACCTGTAACTTCAGAGATGAATTCTTGGGACCAGTCAGTCTCATTATAATCCTGAGTTACATCCACAGCATCTCCAGCTGCAAGAAACTCCTGGGCCCAGTTCTCAGACAAGGCCAAGTCTGCCACACCAGGGGCTTAAAAGAGAGAGAGAGAAAACTAAGAAAGAATACATACATACCATTCCATCATGCCTAAAGAACCCTGAATCCACGTGAAAACACTCTGTTACTTTTGTCTCCTTCTGCATCTCAGGTCCCCAATGCCAGCAGCATCCAATGGAACCCCCTTCCTTGGCCCTGGCTACATGGAAAACGATCTCCCCTCCCACTAGACTCTGGACTCACCTCTCTGGGGAGCCTGGCGGAAGTTTGACTGCTCAATCTGCTGCATCTCAGCCAGGAGGTCATCCATCTTGAAGGTCTGAGGGGCACGGGACACAAGGGGTGCATTCTGGTCCTGCAGGAATTCAGCCACCAACTGCCAGAAGGGAAATGATGAAATGAACCCATAGGCTTGGGAGGCCCCAGCAAGAGGCAGGACCCACTGGAGGGGGATCCCAATGTTAGATACAAGGAAAGGAAAACACAGAAACTGGAGACACATAAAGAGAAACTGTCTTTCCATAGATTTAGAAGGACGAAAAAATACATTTAAAAACAAGCAGGCATTCTCATTCGGTCAGGAAAGCCCAAAAATTGAAATACGGGTGAACTAAGTTTAAAGGTAAAAACACAGTGGGCAAGAGAAAAATGGGACAGAAAAGAGACTGGTCTATTTACCTCATCTTCAGAAGCTACTCCCAAAGGCTTGGAGGCCTAAGAGAGAAAGACAGAGATGTACAATGACGCAGTTCCTCTAAAATCAGGGGTTGATGAAGCCCATAGGCATCTGAGCCTCGGCTTCTTCATCTATAAAATGGTTGCATTTATTTAAAGGTGCACAGGGTTTTCTAGTGTTTATAAACGCTCAGTAAGTGGTAACTACTATGATTTGCAACACAATAGAGAAAGCAGTTATACCAAGATGTGCAAACAGCCCCTCCACCTCAGACCACCACCACCTGGGCTTTCCACCTCAAGAACACTCACTGCCTCAGAGGCTGCACCTGGGCTTTCCACCTCAAGAACACTCACTGCCTCAGAGGCTGCACCTGGGCTTTCCACCTCAAGAACACTCACTGCCTCAGAGGCCGGGGCTCCGGGGGGCCAGGGGCCAGGCCTCAATCCCTCCTGCCGAAGGGCCTTGTCCTGGGTGAAGTGCCCGGCGAGCTTCATGAGCGGGTTGGCACCCCCGCATTCGGCCTCCACCAGCTCCCGCATTGCCATGGTGACCGCCAGCTCTCTGATGGACACAGGAGGTTTGGAACTGAGGTACCCAAGCCAGACCCTTCTCACATCCACAACTCTGCCCGTATCTGAGGAAGGCACACAGGCGTCTGCCCCACACTGGCCGCCCTCCACCCCAGTGCTTTTGCTGCGACCCCCACCTCTGCCAGGAGTTCGAGGGAGGTCGGTACTCTCTCCTGCCGCCCCCCTCAAAGGCCACCGCTTCCAGCCTGCGCCTCTGCAGAGGCCTCCGCGACTACGGTCCCATGGGCTGGGGGCCAGCAGCTGCCTCCACAAAGGGGCCTGGACCCCGGGGGACCACGGGGACGCTTCAACAACCAGGCTGGACGGCGACACTGCCCGAAGAAGGGACAGTGGGAAAACAGCCCGACCATACCTAGCCCCGCGCAGCCCCAGCACGCGGTGAGCACGGCAGAGGAGCATTCCCTCCCCTTAAGTCACCGGAGCCCTTCCCCCGGCTCGGCCCGGTCCCTCCCGCGCTCCCCACCGCCCATCTCCCCGGCCCTGCTGCCGCTCCAGCCCCGCCCCTGGGACCCGCGAGGCCACCGCAAGGGTGGGGAGGGCCCAGGGACGCGGCCCCGGGCCCCCTCGGGGTCAGGCGCTCACCGCGGAGCGCCGCGCCGCACGACCCGCCGGGGCACCAGGTGCTGGCTTGGGGGAGGGGAGAAGAGGGGGCGGGGAGCCAGGGGGCGGGGCTCAGGCTTAAAGGGGCCGTGACCGCCCCGCAGCGGCCCAGGCCCAGCGGAAGCTGTCTGAAAAGGCGGGGCCTTAAGACTGCGACGCAGCCTGACGGGAAGAGCCGTGAGTCTTAAAGGGGAAGAGCACCTTAGAGAGCGGGTCTTGGAGAGTCGCCTTTAGGAGCGCTCGAAAAGGCCACGGGCCCTAGGATTTGTTTGACGGAAAGCTCAAAGAAGAGTGGAGCTAAGAAGGGCTTCCCAGGCTCTGGGGGAAAGCCGAAGACGCGAGATCCTAGGCTCAGTCGATCCTGCCTCTTCCCTTGGGCGCATTGTGACCTAAGGGGATTCAGTGCCCTTTCTGAGCCTCAGTTTTCCCCTCTAAAATGGGGCTGGCTAATGTTCCCAAGCCCAAGAAAGAGAAAAGCCCTAACACCAGGGGCTGGGGAGTCCAGTCCGAAGCCTTCTTCAGCCTCCTAGGCCTGCCCCGCTTCCAAATAACCCCTAGCGGGGTAGCGTCACTGTCTCCATGGAGACAGGGGCCCGCCCCCGCCTTAATCCCTCTCCACCTCTGCATAATGGGGAAAATAGCACTGCATGATGACAAATTCCGGAGACCAAAATAGGGTCCAACGCATCCTGAGACCTCGAGCTGGTAACGTACAGGGAAGGTGAACAGTGAGTCAGCCCTTCCTTCCGCTAAGTCAACATAGTGGCCTTATTCCCATCACTCCAGGCTGGGAAAGGACAAACATACAAGAAATGCTTTTAATCACGGAATAAGACTAAGCCTCAAGCCCCCTCATCTGCCAAAGAGTGTGCTCTGCTGTCAAACCTCAAAGTCATTGAGAAACAAACCCTGATAATCTCACCCAGCTTCAAGACCAAGGGAGTCCTAGTGTCATGGAGAAGAGCAAGGAGGGGCCCAGGGCTGCCGGTAAATGACCAAGGGCAATAATGCCAGACGAACAGAAGTACCATCCCAGCCCAGGGTGCATGAGCGGAGGCAGGCAGGCAGCAGGTGGCGCCATGGGCCGGGCTTGTTTCCTGGCTGTTCTGCAGATTTCAGAGGTGGAGGCCTCAGGGGGCCACAGGGAATGTCTGTGTAAACTCATCCCTGGGAAGACAGAGAAGCTGCTCTGACACCTCAGGGGAACAGAATGGCAGGGGACAGACCATAAGACTGTGCAACATTTCTCCTTTTCCTTGCCTTTTCGCCCTCTTTCAGAGGCCCCACTTCTACACCCCGTTTTCTTCCGGAGCACACAAATCCCAGCCCTTGGGCGTCCCCTGTTCTCAGGCTGCCATCGTGAGGAAAATACCTGATAAACTAAACCACACAAGGATGAAGAGATGCCCTCCAGAAGGTGCATACTTTTAAAAAGAGGACCCCCTAGAGAGAGCAATGTTTAAAGGAACCCATCTGATACAGTAGAATTTCAGAACCTCAAGGCAACCAGAGTTTCCCAGTACCACTTAAACATCACAACACACATAACCTTCTGCTCTGCTAGGAGTTTATCAACTGATTAGCCGTAACTCACTTTGTGTGCAGATCTTGGAAGAATGCTAATAATAATAACTGATGTTTACTAAAATCCAGGTGTTGTGTAAAACACTTTATGTATCTCAATGTTTTTAATCTTCTTAATACCCCTATTAAATAGATATTAGTAGACCCACTTTACAGATAAGACTTGTGCAAAATCAGATGGCTAGGAAGTCAAAATTTAATCCAGGCATAACTCTAGGCACCTACTTCCCAGTCTTAGAGAAGACTTACTGATAAACCATGGAGATCTTTGATCTCCTAGGCCATAGAATCATTCACAGAACTTGGTCCACAGTCCCAGCCAGAGGTGCTGGGAAAGGGCTAATAGAGTGACTTTGGTGTTTAATATTTAATTTACTGAAGCTCTAGATTTGAAACCCTAGATTTTGTTAATCCAGGTTCAACTTTAAATTCTTGTTCTATTCATAAAAGTAGTAATTTTTATAAAATAAAAATAATTTTTACTTATTCTTTAATGTTTGACGAATTCAAGTTCAATAGATGTTTAGACACACATTGCATTGACTGTGTGCCAGGCATTGTTTCAAGCACTTTTCAACTATTGATTTATTTAATCCTCCTAATAGTTATTAATAATAACTATTATCCCCCATTTTACAAAAGAGGAAACTGAGGCACAGAGAAGTTGAGTGACTTGCACAAGGTCATACTAATAAATAGCAGAGCTGGGATTTGAACCCAGACCACGGTCACCAAACTGTAAAGGGCTCAATGGTCAATATTTTTGGCTTTGTAGTCCATGCAGTCTCTGTCACAGTGACTCAACCCTGCTGTTGGAGCACAAAAGCAGACATAGGCCACACCTAAACAAATGAGCATGGCTGTATTCCAGTAATGCTTTTTATGGGGACTGAAATGTGAATTTTATATAATTTTCATGTTACAAAATATTCTTCTTCTTTTGATGTTTTTCCAACTATTTAAAAATGTCAAATACTTATTTGTTTTGAGACAGTCTTGTTCTGTCACCCAGGCCGGCATGCAGTGGCGCAATCTCGGCTCACTACAACCTCTACCTCCTAGGTTCAAGTGATTCTCCTGCCTCAGCCTCCCGAGTAGCTGGGACTACAGGCACATGCCACCATGCCCAGCTAATTTTCGTATTTTTAGTAGAGATGGGGTTTCACCATGTTGGTCAGGCTGGTCTCAAACACCTGACTTCAGATGATCCACCCCCCTTGGCCTCCTGAAGTGCTGGGATTACAGATGTGACCCACCGTGCCCAGCCAAAAAACGTCAAATACTTCTTAGCTTGCAGACTATGGAAAAACAGGGACCAGGCCATAGTTTGTGGATCTTTGACCTACACAGTCTTATTCCAGAGTCCATGCTCTTAAACACTGTGCTGTACTTCTGCTTTTTAGAAATAAAAGACAAATTTCCTAATATTTTTAACTATGTGACATTTAATATTCATATTTTAAATACCTGACAGGGCAAACAACACTACTAGGCAAAACCTTTCTGAACTTTTATTCAACCCTTTAATAAATCAAACTTATAAACATTTATTCAATTTTCTTAATCCTCTTAAAGTCATATGTCTAAAACTCTTTTCTTTTCTTTTTTTTTTTTTTGCTGTTGCAAGATTTAATAGAGTGAAAACAGAGCTCCCATACAACGGGAGGGGACCCAAAGGGGGTTGCCACTGCCAGCTCAAATGCCTGGGTTTATATCCCGATCATTGTCCCTCCCCCTGTGCTCTCAGGCAATAGATGATTGACTATTTCTTTACCTCCTGCTTTTAGCCTAATTGGTGTTTTAGTGAGCTCTCTTTACTACCTGATTGGTCAGGTGTGAGCTGAGTTACAAGCACCCTGTTTAAATGTGAGTACAGTCATCTTCCCCAGCTGGGCTTAGGAATGCTTAGTTGGCCTAGGAAATCCAGCTAGTCCTGTCTCTCAGTCCCCCCTCTCAACAGGAAAACCCAAGTGCTGTTGGGGAGGTTGGCCAACGACTGCTTTAACTGCTTCCTGCTGAATTGGGGCATAGTAGGTCATGCAGTTGAGATTTCCTCAGCAGGGGTGCCTTTGATGTCATCAACATCAGAGCATGGCCTAGCAGGTCCAGGGGTCTGTAGTAGATCTTAGTCATGGACTGCATCTGGGGCTCCATTTGAAGAGCCATTTGTAGTTTTTACAGCTTTGATTCTGGAAGAGACAAACTTAACAAGGAGGTTAAAGATACAGGGATTGAAATGTATGGCCTGAAGTGCAGGGGGAGGCACATCCAACAGTTAGTAGGGTTTGGGGATAAAGATAAGCCAGTATTGGCTGGATACGTTCCTCACTGAGGGCCCTGGTGCCTTTGGATAATTTTAGCCCTAAGTATTTAACCTGCTGTAAGCAGAACTGAGCCTTTGGTTTGGAAACCTTGTAGCCACAGGTGGCGAGGAAGTTTAAGAGCGCTTGGGTAACTCGATGGCACAAGGTTTCTGAACGGGCTGCTAAAAGTAAATCATCCACATACCAAAGGGCAAGAGTGTCCAAGTATGAGAACTGGCTCAAGTCTTGTGCTAATGCCTGGTCAAATAGATGGGGGCTATCCCTGAACACTTGGGGTAAAGCAGTCCAGGTGAGTTGAGATGTTGGGTTCAAAGGATCTTCAAAGGCAAACAAGAATTGAGAGTCGGGATGTACGGGGATGCAGAAAAAGGCATCCTTAAGATCCAGGACTGTAAACCACTCTGCTTCCTCTGGTATTTGTGAAAGCAAAGTATAAGGGTTAGGTACAGCTGGGTATAGAGGGACAACGGCCTCACTGATAATCCTGAGATCTTGCACTAACCTCCACTGTCCATTGGGTTTCTGTACTCCTAAAATTGGAGTATTGCAGGGACTATTGCATGGTTTTACTAGGCCTTGGGCTTTTAGGTCCTTAACGATCTTTTGAAGTCCAAGTTGGGGCTTGTTGGGCTGTCCATCAGAGAGCTGGGTGGATCTAAGAGGGTACTGCCTTTGGTAGGGGAAGGAGGCAGAATCCTTTAGTTTAAGTTGAACAGGACAGGCATTCTTCACTTGTCTATTTGTCCTTCTGTGGCCCAGACTTCAGGATTAATTCCTTCCTCAAGTAGGGGACAACAAATGGGTGCTCCTTCTCCTATATTCAAGTGTATAATGGCCCCTGCTTTTGCTAGAATATCTCTCCCTAACAAAGGAGTGGGGCTTTCAGGCATAATTAGAAAGGCATGTGAAAAGAGTAAAGTTCCCCAGTCACAACTTAGTGGCTGGGAGAAATATCTAGTGACTGCCTCTCCTAGGACCCCTCAGATAGTGACAGATCTGGAAGACAGTTGTCCGAGACAGGAGAGTAAGATTGAGAAGGCTGTGCCAGTGTCCAGGAGACAGTTAACCTCCTGGCCCTTAATGGTCAAGCATACCCGGGGCTCTGTGAGGGTGATGGCATGGGCTGGTGCTTGCCCTGGGCACACAGTTCTGCTGCTGGATCATCTATCTGGTTAGTGGCTTCTGACTCAGAGGACCTTCGTTCCCTGGGGCAGCAGAACTTCCAGTCATTCCCTTGACATAAGGGGCATGGACAAGGGGGTGGCTTATTTCTATTCGGACAATCTTTTTTAAAGTGCCCTTGTAGACCGCATTGGAAGCAAGCATTCAATTTACCCAGCCTTTCTGTTCCAGAGCCTCCAAAGTCTGCTTGCTTGAAGGCCATGACTAAAGCTGTGGCCTTTTTTTAATCCCGTTTGTCCCATTCCGCCTGCTCCTCCTGATCTCTATTATAAAATACCAAGGTTGCCAAGTTCAATAGGGTTTCTAAGTTTTGCTCTGGGCCTAAGGCAGATTTTGAAGTTTTTTTTCCTAATGTCTGCAGCTGACTGAGTGATAAACTTATCCTTTAAGATTAGTTGGCCTTCAACAGAGTCAGGTGACAGAGAGGTATGCTTTCTCAATGCCTCCCTTAGTCTCTCCAGAAAGACAGTAGGATTTTCTTCCTTTCCCTGTGTTATAGCAGACATCATTGAATAGTTCATCAGCTTCTTCCTAGTTTTCCTTAGTCCTTCTAGCACGCAAGTTAGCAAATGTCTGCAGCACCAATCTCCATGTTCTGATTCTGCGTCCTGATGAGGGTCTACACTGGGAACTGCCTACTGGCCTGTGGGGAATTGTTCTCTTTCCTCTGTTGTCATACTATCATTGACCTGATTGAGATACCAGAGATCGCCAAACTCTCGGGCTACAGTTATGGCGGCACTTCTCTTGTTTGGGGTTAGTGTCTGATCTAGCAGTAACATTATATCTCTCCATGTCAGATCAAAGGATTGTCCTAACCCTTGTAAAACATCAACATAGCCATCAGGGTTATCTGAGAATTTACCTAGGTCTATTTTAATTTGCTTCAAATCTGAGAGGGAAAAAGGTACATGCACTCTGACTGGGCCAAATTCTCCTCCCACTGCCTGGAGGGGGCATAATCGGGAAATATTGGCACTCTTTGGTTCATTGTTTACCCCTTTGTCTATCTCCTTTTGGACCGTTTGTGTGAAGGGGGGTCCTTATTAGTTGGGGAAAGAGCCGGGGGAATGCTGGGGTAGGGAGGTAGATTCTGAGAGCTTCCTATAGGGCATAAATTACACTTTTTACGTAACTGCAAGTTATCTCTTAATGAAAAGAAAGTTTGCACATATGGCACTTCACTCCATTTGCCCTCTTTTCTACAAAAGAGGTCTAGCTATAAGATGGTGTTATAATTTATACTTCCCTCAGGAGGCCAGGTTTCTCCCTCTTGAAGAGGATATCATGGCCAGGCAGTACTGCAGAAGAATATAAGTTATTTATTTCTTAGTGTTTGAGGGTCAAATTGGTCCCAATTCTCCAGAATACATCTTAGGGGCATTTTTGCCTTGGGGGGAACATTTCCCATCTGAAAAAAGAACATAGGGATGCCAGCACCCCGAGTCATTTTCCAATGCGCATCGCATCAGTTTTAGAGCATCCTCGGTGGTCTTAATGCTTATTCCTTTCCAGGGTGCGTAACCACCCATGGACCTCTGCTTATCGGATTAGTTATGCTCACCAATGTAGCAGTCCTGCACCTGTTTTCCCACCTTTCTTGACCACAAAGAAAGGGGTCGGGGCTGCTGGATTCTAGGGGTCCTTTACTAGCATGCCCAACATTGCCTTTGCACTCAGGGGTGAGTTCTAGAGCTGGGCTGTGTTCCTGAGTATTTCATAACAACCCAGTTGCCCCATGAAAATGCATTCCCATAAATAACAGTTCCTATGCAAATTCATTTCAGAGAGGGTGTAGGTAACCTTTTGAGTCAGGATTGAGATAGAGTTTTTGACCACTGGGGCCTTTGTCCTTCTTTTTCTTTGTAGGAATATGCCCTAATTATTGATCTTAAACTTTTTGTTGTCCCGGATTAAGTCTTTTTGGGTACAAAATATGACAGATGGATCCTGTTTATCCTATGTGCCTTTTTCCTATGAGAAGGGGAGCAAGGAGAAAAGGATGGACTTGCTGGCTTTATATGCTAAAGTCCAGTAAATAAACTTCTGGGTGCTATGTTGTCTTTCCAGTAGTATTGACTTACATAGGATCACTAGGCAAAGCTGTGAGAGAGATAGTTTCTCTCTTGGTAGATGGATTTTGGGAACACAGCGGAAGGACGTTTGCTCATTGCCCCCATTTGCCACTATAGGAATATGTGCCTTCCCTTAATTTACTTAATGCATTTTCATCCTGATCTATTATATTGTTGTAGACCGAGTTCCAGTTGTTAAAGTACTGGGTCATCAGTTTTAAGGCCCTGGCAAGGGTGGTGGGGAATGGGTCCCACATAACTGCCTATGTTGACAGCTGTATACCTAAATTGGGAGGGACACCAGGGGCAAGACTCCCTGGGTTCATAGCCTAGGTGCCTAAGGATGCAGCGTAGAGCTCCCTTAGATCCCTTTGGAGATACAACTTGCTCTAATACTTGGGAAAGGAAGTAAAAGTCTGAAGCATTTGTACCTAGGAGGCAGGGATCAAAGGCAGTAGATTCACAGGTAAGGAGAATTTGGGGGCTACACTTTCAAGAAAGTCGTGATCAGAACTCAGGAGGTATGGGTCAGAAGGAGAGGTAGTCGCACATGCATGGGCGATTGTTGAGTAGAGACTTCTGGCTGTGCCATGATCTTGACTGGCCAATGCCAGGAGTTCAGGATGACACCTTTCTGCCTCTAGTCAGCCCTCGACTTCCCCCAGGAATATTGTGAAAGTGGAAGCTGGTTCCAGGCAGACCAATGCTCCCAACCCACAAGGGTTGGGAGTTGTTAGCCTTTTCCCAGAAAGCCTCACATCTGAGTCTTAAGTCCAGCAGCCACGCTAATCGTTTTTAACCAGCTGACAGGTACCTGGTATTTTCCTCTGATTCTAAGGAAGGATAGGATAGAACAGCAAGCAAAAGTGGTCCAATATTACTCACCGCTTTGGAGAATCCCCGTATAGGCCACCAAATCTTACTGGTGGGTCTTTGTTCTTAGAGCTCCCAAGATGGTGGCAAGCCACTCCCAAGATGGCAGCAAGCCTTTTGTTCCCTGACCTGGGGTTCTTGGCCTCACGAATTCCAAGGAATTGAACCTTGAGCCATGCAGTGAGTGTTATAGCTCTATTAGAAGCCATGGGTCATGGAAGAGAACCATGGAACACAGCAACTAGTGTTCAGCTTGATTAGGACAAATCTGGACACTTAGCCATGCAGGAACAATGGCGAGCCTCTAGCCCGATCGGGAGTAGCAACAGGCACCTCACTGGATCAGAAGCGCAGGGACACCCTGCCAGATCCGGAGGGGTGGAAGTCAGCAGCAGGTCTACAACAGTGGTGATCAGCAATGGTGGACGGCAGACGAAAGCTCAGCTTGAGCCAGAAAAAACATGGACCAGAAGAGTGTGCAGTTCCAAGATTTAACAGAGTGAAAACAGAGCTCCTGTACAACGGGAGGGGACCCAAAGGGGGTTGCCAAAGTCTAAAACTTTACTTTCCAAATCAAAGGCTAATCCATCAGATTCTCTAAAACATCAAACATTTTAACTTATAATGTCACTTTTACATCTCTGCAAGGCAAATTTACTGACTCAGGTAAGTCAAGTTTACTGGGTTAAATTTAGAACTACAGTGTAGATACTTAAAAGTCAGAGATTTGAGACCAAGACTCAAGACATAGACATATCCCCAAGACAAGGCTGAGTCACAAATGAATACTCTCAGCACTGTTTTAGAGCTGAGCTCTGCCTGCTGTGTCATGGATCCCTAAGGCCATTTCCTCCACTTGGTAACGATATCCAAGTCATGAGTTAAAACTCTTTTTTTTTTTGAGACAGAGCCTCACTCCATCTCCCAGGCTGGAGTGCAGTGGCAGGATCTCAGCTCACTGCAACCTCCACCTCCCAGGTTCAAGCAATTCTAGTGCCTCAGCCTCCCAAGTAGCTGGGATTACAGGCATGCACACCACACCAGGCTAATTTTTGTATTTTTTTTTTTTTAAGGAAAGAACAGGGTTTTACCATATTGGCCAGGCTGGTTTGAACTTTTGGCCTCAAGTGATCCACCCACCTTGGCTTCCCAAAGTACTGGGATTACAGGTGTAAACCACTGTGCCCAGCCATGAGTTACAAGTTTACCTAGCTATCATCTCATTTAGGTACAGCTACTTTCTTTGAATAAATTCATTTGAATAAATGAATTTCTTTTTTTTTTTTTTTTTTTTTTGAGACAGAGTTTCGTTGTTGTTGCCCAGGCTGGAGTGCAATGGCACAATCTCAGCTCACCACAACCTCCACCTTCCAGGTTCAAGCGATTCTCCTGCCCTAGACTCCCAAGTAGCTGGGATTACAGGCATGCACCACCATGCCCCGCTAATTTTTGTATTTTTTAGTAGAGATAGGGTTTCTCCATGTTGGTCAGGCTGGTCTCAAACTCCTGACCTCAGGTGATCCACCTGCCTCGGCCTCCAAAAGTGCTGGGATTATAGGCGTGAACCACTGCACCTGGCCTAATTTCTTTATTTTCTAAGTGTTCAAGTCTACATTCCTCTTGTTTGGAGGAGGGGTAATACTATGGTTTCAATGTGTCCCCAAAATACTAATGTGCTAGAAACTTAACCCCTCTGCCCTCATGAGTGGATTAATGTTGCTATCATGGGAGTGGGTTTGTTATAAAAGCAAGCTCTCTCTGTCTTGCTTGCCCTTGCCCTTTCACCATGTGATGCCCTCCACCATGTTATGATGTAGCAAGAAGGCCCTCATTAGATGGTGGCACCATACTCTTGAACCATGAACTAAATAAACCTCTATTCCTTATAAATTATCCAGCCTCCATAACTATGATCTAAATAAACCTCTATTTTTCACAAATTACTCAGTCTGTGATATTCAGTTATAGCAACAGAAAACAAACTAAGACAGGTAGGAAATGGGGGATGACCCCATCTGATTTGATTCTTTAGTTTTTTAATGACATCAGATGCAGAGTAATAGAAGTTTCCATGCTCTGGAAATTGCAAATCAAGTTACAGTCTTTACACATGTACATTTGGAAGGGCTTGTTGCTTATAATTACCCATCCCTCCTTGCAGCCCTAGTAGTCATCATTGGCAGAGACAACTTGGCAAAGGATGAAAACAGTATATGTGATGAAATGCAGCAAATCTTGAAGCCAGGACCATCTAAAAAGACCTGAAGAAATCTTAATTTGCTTTAAAAGTGTTCAAAGTAGTGATATCTAGATATACCGAGGTATACCCAGCACTATGCACCTAGGTTTGGGTACAAAGTATCTTAACTCCATCCCTGGCCACCCAGTAGAGAACGCTGCCAGATAGCTGCAAGGACTGTAGTACACACTGTCTTCACCCCTATGTCTTAGTCTGTTCTGGCTGCTATAATAAAATACCTTAGACTGAGGGCTGGGGCACCGTGGCTCATGCCTGTAATCCCAGCACTTTGGGAGGCGGAGGCAGGTGGATCACCTGAGGTCAAGAGTTTGAGACCAGCCTGGCCAAGATGGTGAAACCCCATCTCTAAAACTACAAAAATTAGCCAGGCATGGTGGCAAGTGCCTGTAATCCCAGCTACTTGGGAGGCTGAGGCAGGAGAATCGCTTGAACCCAGGAAGTGGAGGTTGCAGTGAGCCGAGATCGTGCCATTGCATTCTAGCCTGGGTGACAGAGCAAGACTATGTCAAAAAAAAAACAAAAAAAAAAGGAAAAAAAAAAAAACCTTAGACTGGATGGCTTATAAACAACAAATATTTACTTCTCACAGTTCTGCAGGCTGAGAAGTCCCATCAAAGCACCCACAGATTCAGTGTCTGGTGAGGTTCTTGCTTCCTCATAAATGGTGCCTTCTTGCTGCATCTTCACATGGTGGAAGGGCCAGCCTAGCCACCTCTCTGGGATCTAGCAACACTAATCCCATTCATGAGGCAGAGCCCTCATGACCGAATCATCTCCCAAAAGCCTCCTAACCGCCTCCTAATACCATCACACTGGGGGTTAGGATTTCAACATATGAACTATGAGGGAGACACAAACATTCAGACCATAGCATCCTGCTTCTAGTAGAATCTTACCACCTTTGAAATCCAGAGAAGTTTCAGAATATGTCACCCTTGCCAAATCCAGCTGGGAAACCTTTGATTGTCCCCACACAGAAAAGAAGGAAGGAAGGAAAAAGGAAACCAAGATTTTTTTGCTTGGGAATATTTCCCCAAATGAGTGGTTTTGCTCCCTTTTCAGAGTTTTTTCACCAAATATCTATAGCATATACAGATAAGCTGTGTGTGTGTGTGTGTGTGTGTGTGTGTGTGTGTGTGTGTGTGTGTGTGTGTTTGGAGAAAGATCCTGCCTTGGGAAAAATGGAGTAGACATAATTTTCTCTATTCCTTCCATTCAGTACAACTTAAAACCCTGAGCATTATATGTAAACCAAACATAAGAAGACTCTCAAAGGTGTAGAAAAGAAGGCAGACTGGCTAGGGACCACAAGACCCAAGAAACAACATGGTAATGAGTCCCATGGGTTTCCTTTTTGCCTCACATATCTCATACTGAGTGCTAAAGAGGCCAGCAACCCAGAAACACCAACATGCCCAGACAAAATAAGCTCCAATAAAAGCCTGCTCTTTCTAACCAAAGGACAAGAAGAGGGGCAGCCTACCAAGACAGAAACTTCTAGACAATAACCACTCCATTCGAGCTAAACACCAAATTTAAAACTGTGCCCCTACCCACACAACAAGCAATGGCCAAGAGGGGAGTCTAGACTTCCTCCCTCATGAGGCTGTAAGAAGACACCCCAATACCGAGGTGGGTACCCCTAAAACCGAGGAGTCAGCAGAGCTATGCTCCTTCTGGAGGCAGTAGGGAGAAATCTGTTTTCTTGTCTTTTCCAGCTTCTAGAGGCCACCTGATTCTTTGGTTCATGGCACCTACCTCTGTCTTCAGCCAGAAATGTCTGGCCAAGCCCCTCTAATATGGTCATCCCTCTGGTTCTCTCCCTGCCGCCTCCATCTCTCACATATAAGGACCTCAGTGATCATATTGGGCCCACTTGGATAATCCAGAATCATCTCTACATTCTCTCTCCATATCCTGGAGGATAATCTCCAAGACCTCTACCACATTCATTGATTCTAAAAAGTTATCACACCAAGAGAATGCAGTAATAACTTTTTTAAGCCACTTAGTTTGTGAAAAATTTTTATAGCAGCAATGAGAAGACAAGCCACTGACTTGGAGAAAATATTTGCAAAACTCCTACGTGATAAAGAACTGTTATCCAAAATATAAAAAGAACTCTTAAAACTCAACAATAAGAACATAAGGTGGGCCAATTAGAAACTTCCATCTTCAACTGTAATTTCTCTTTGCCATGTGGCCTCACCTATTCACAGGTTCCAGACAGTACGACGTGGACATCTTTGGGAAGGACATTATTTTGCAACACACCCACTGAAAATATCCTTCAGGAATGGAGGGAAAATCAAGACATGCTTCATTAAGGAAAATGAAAAGAATTTGTCCCCATCAGACCTACCCTGACTGAATAGCCAAAGGAAGTTCTTAAAGCAGAAAGGAAACAATAAAAGAAGGAACTCAGGAACATCATGAAATAAGGAAAAATGCAGTAAGCAAAAATATGGGTCAATACAATAGGCTCAAGTTTTCTAACATATGTTTGACGATTGAAGAAACATCATATCATTGTTTGTTTTTTGGAATAAGCATTAGCTAAACAAATGAAACTTAAGTTGCCCAACCAGTTACTTATATTCAGCATCTATGAGTTTCAGTAACTTCACCTTGACACTCACCACATTTTGTCATCTACAACCTGAAGGGATTGCACAACAGATTTCTAAAAGTCCCTGTTTCTAAAATCTATGACTGTCATGTAGTAAGTAGTGTCAAATGCCCTCTATAAGAGCCAGTCTCATTGTCCATTTTAATTCAATAATTCGACAAGTGTGTATTAGGCACCTATTGAGCACAAGTCCTCATGCTAATTCCCTAATTTCTTATCATTTATAATTCCTTATTATTTAGGCATTTACTCTGATATTTGCATTATCTTTAAATCCCCTCCCAGGGCTTAACCTTACCAGTCCCACCACCACCAAATATACATGCTTCCTGTCCATGGGAGCCTTTTCAAGTAGGCTGCTCCCACCCAGCTGCCCAAGCTGGCTTCCTGTGAGACCTCTACCACATTCATTGATTCTAAAAAGTATCACTTTAAGAGAATGAGAAGACGAGCTACTAACTTGGACAAAATATTTGCAAAACTCATACGTCATAAAGGACTGTTATCCAAAATTTTAAAAGACTTTAAAACTCAGTAATAAGAAAACAAACAACTCAACTTGAAAATGGGCAAAACATCTGAATAGGCAAAAGAAGATATACAGATGGCAAATAAGCATATGAAAAGATGCTTAGCATCATATGTCATTAAGAATTGCAAGTTAAAACAACAATGACAGACCACTACACACCTATTGGAATGGCCAAAATCCAAAACTCTGGCAACACCAAATGCTGACAAGGGTGTGGAGCAACAGGAACCCTTTTTTGTTGCTGTTGGGAATGCAAAATGGTACAGCCACTTTGGAAGACAGTTTGGCAAATTCTTACAAAAACTAACCATACTCTTATCATATGGTCCAGCCATCACACTCTTTGGTATTTAACCAAATGAGCTGAAAACATATCCACACAAAACTTTGCACAATATTATTCATAAACACCAAACTTGAAGAAGGAAACCAAGATGTCCTTCAGTAGAGGAACAGATAAACTGTGATTCATCCATACAATGGAATGTTATTTAGCAATAAAAAGAAATGAGCTAACCAGCCATTAAAAGGCATGGAGGAAACTTAAATGCATATTACTAAGTGAAAGAAGCCAATCTGAAAATGATTCATACTATATGATTCCAAGTATATGACATCCTGGAAAAGGCAAAGCTATGGAGACAGCAAAAAGATCAGTAGTTGCCAAGGGGTGGAGGTCAGGGAAGAGGGATGAGTAGGTGGAAGACAGAGCATTTTTAGGGCAGTGAGGCCACCCTGTAATGGTGAACTTATATCATTTGTCAAAACCCATAGAACTTACAACACAACAAGTGAAGTCTACTGAAAACTATGGACTGTGGGTGACCATGATGGGTCAATGTAGGTTCATAATTGTAGCAAATGCACCCTCTGGTAAGGGATATTGAGAGTAGGGAAGTCTGGGGATGGGGACAGGGGGTATATGGGAACTCTCTGTGCTTTCTGCTCAGTTTTTCTGTGAACCCCAAACAGCTCTAAAAAATAAAATATATTAAAAAAAGTATTACTGAGCTTCTTCAGATGAAAGTGGAGTATGTTTCCTACTGCCTGTTGCTGCAGAATTTAGCCAGCTGAGTACCCTTCCTCCCACAATATTTCTGTAACACAGAGGAGATAATACACACCATTGGTTACACACAGCCTGTATTCCACAGACTTTGGCTGATGACAGGGTGAGCAAGATATATTACGTGTCTCAGGGTAGCACCTAGTAGCACCTGGTAAAAATTCTCTGCTAAAATTAAAGAGGGAAAGTATAGTAGATGGTATGTCATGTTATAGTCATATAACATAAGTCATAATTCCAGGCATAAGTCCCAGGAGCATGGGTCTCCTTCCTTCTCACATCCTTATTCTTGGGTGTAGGTGCCTGCTTCTGCACATTATTGTAGAAGAGATGACAATAACTGAAGTAACTCACATTTTTAGGGAGTATTCCAGTTCCAGGAACTGTGCTAAACACATTCTCAGTAACTATAAGAATGTGGGAGACAAGCAGGATTGTCTGGTGAATTACCTGGGGAGCTCCTTCCAGTTGCCTGGCAAGAGGCTAGCTTGGAGGGCTGGGAAGATCATCATCCTCTTTCTCCCAGCAGGACATGCCACTCCAGACAGAACTCAACTTCCCTAGTGACTATTGGCTATCCAACCTCTCCTCCAGGTAAGAAAAGTTATGCCTGATCTCAGTATATTCCAAGGTCTCTAGATGCTGGGCTTCATGTTTTCCAAGGTATTGCTGTAAATGATTAGCACTCAAACTCAGACTGTCAAGGCCACAAAGCCACCCACACTTGCCTTCTAAAAGTCACAGCAATAGGAAGAGGGAGCCTTCTTAACCCCCTCCTCAAAATGCTGAGAGAACAGGGAACCTATTCACCTGCTGACTCTTCCACCTGCTTCATCCCATAGCAAATGACCCACTAGAGTTTTCTCTAAGGGCTTTGCAAGAAAGAATGTAAGCCCCATGACAGCAGAGATTTCAGCCAGCTCAGTGCTGGATCTCCAGGACCTAGAACTGTGCCTGACACACACAGTAGATAATGTTTTAATTGGTTTTATTATTTTTAGGTATGGTAAATCCAACAGATCAGGAAATTACTGCCATTGAAAAGATAGTTTGTTACAATTCCCAGAGAAGTGGGGGGCACACCATATCACAAGGGGCCAAATGTGGTAAAGGAAAGAAGGGAGAAAAGGAGGAAAGCAGGAAGGAAGGAAGGGAGGGAGGGAGGGAGGGAGGGAGGGAGGGAGGGAGGAGCCAGCCATCAAGTCATGAAAATAAATGGAAGAAAATTAAAATACATATTGATAAGTGAAAGAAGCCAATTTAAAAAGGCTACATAATGTATTATTTCAGCTATATGACATTCTGAAAAAGGCAAAACTATGGAGACAGTCAAAAGTTCAGGGGTTGCCAGGGGCTCAAGGGGAGGGAGGGGTGTGGATGAGTATATGGAGCACAGAGCGTTTTTAGGGCGGTGAAATTATCCTGTGTAATACTGTACTAGTAGATACATGTCATTATATATATCATTACACATTTGTCCAAACCCACAGAATGTACAACACAAAGAGTGAAGCCCAGTGAAAATTATGGAATTTCAGTAATCATGATGGGTCAGTGTAGGTTTATCAATTGTAACAAATGTTCCACACTAAAACAAGATGATAAAGGCTTGTTATCCAAAATATTTTTTTAAACTCAACAATAACAAGTCAATTTTAAAATTGGCAAAAGACCTGAAGAGACACTGCATTAAAGAAGATATACTGATGACAAATAAATATATGAAAAGATGTTAAATATCATGTCATTAGAGAATCACAAGTTAAAACAACAATGAAACACCACTACATACATATTAGAACAGCTAAAATTCAAAACACAGACAACACCAAATGCTGGTGAGGATGTGGAGCAACAGAAACTCTCTTTCATTGTTGGAGGGAATGCTAAATGGTGTGACCACTTGAAAAGATAGTCTTAACAGTTTCCTACAAAACAAAACATACATACTCTTACCATACAGTCCAGCAATCCTTGGCATTTAACCAGAGTTGAAACCTGTCCATACAAAACCATGCACATGAGTGTTTATAGCAGCTTTATCCACTGCTATATCACTGCCAAAACTTAAGAAAAACCAAAATGTCCTTCAATAGGTGAATGGATAAACAACTGTGGTACATCCATACAATGGAATATTGTTCTAGTGGTTACCTTTAACACACTTAGTTCCCTTTTTCTTTAGACAATCCTATTGCTACTTTCTATGAACAAAAAAAGACTAGCTTATAACTTTTCTTCCTCCATCTCCTCCCTTCCTTCCCCTGTTCAGCTTTAGTCATACAATCTTCCTTAATGTTTACCCTTTATACTTTTGAAGATGCTCAACTCTTTGCTACTTGATTTGTCAGCTTTACATGATATCCTTTCACTTGTAGCTATTACATAAAATGAATCAGTGAGATTTTTCTGCTGTTCTCCTTTTTCCTCCCATTTTGTTTGTTGTATTATTCTCTTGTCATTCCTATTCCCACTTTTGTTTTACTCTTAGTTTTGCAGTTAACTATTATTCAGTGCTTGCCAACTAGTCCTTTTGCCAAAGGGAATGGGTTTTAAGCACTTTTAAGTTCTTTATGTCTGCCATTGTATAATGGGAGTGTTGTTATCCTCTTGTATGATCTTACAGCAAATCATCTGGTGAGGATTTTGGGTAGTGAGACAAATGAGGCTGGGCATGTGTGGGATAGGAATAAACTACTGAGTAGAATGTCAGCCTTGGATACAGAGTAGCCTCGGAGTTCATTTAATGAGTCTATAGTTTTTGCCCATAGCTAAGCCTCCTGGGAGAAAAAGCCAAGTTGTACACCCATGCCCCAGGTGTGATGGTGCATACCCATAGATTCAGCTACTCAGGAGGCTGAGGGGGGATCACTTGAGCCCAAAAGGTCAAGGCTGCAGTGAGCTATGATCGTGCCACTGCACTCCAGCCTAGGCTGCAGAGTGAGACCTTGTCTCAAAGAAAAAAAAAAAGAAATTCTGGAATTTGAGTTGGATGTACTGCCCCCATGTTATAATATTAAAAGTAAAATTTCCCATAATTTAGCAAATTAATATCTTATGAAAATTTGGTTTTAGCATGTAGACCATTTTTCAGAAAGTCTATTTTAAATGATTTTGTTTTAATTACAACTAGTTAAATTATACCCAGAATTCCATACATAAATCCCCTTCATAAACCTTATCATGACTTACACAGACCATACAATATGCTTGGACTTTTTGACTTGTCTTATACTATCTCTTTCTTACATAACGAGTCATTTTATTTTAGGACAAGAATTTACAAGATCCCTCTTCATACAAAATTATTCTTTATATTTTTACTTGCCAAAAATCTTTTAATCTGTAATTTTTTATATAATTTTTTTAACTTACTGGCTCCCTCATATTTTGAACCTCTCAATAATTTTTAAATTAAACAAAAACTATTATTATTATTCCCCAATAAAGAATATAATTTTTGTCATATTTTATATAAACCAAGGATGTAAGAAATCCTGCACTGCCCATGAAACACTGACATTTTATAGATGAGAACCATTGCACAATTTCAAGATTTTAAACCACACAAAAAGTTCACTGTTTAAGTATCTATTATATTTAGATGTTGGGAACAGGCCCCCCAAAATCTGGCCATAAACTGGCCCCAAAACTGGCCATAAACAAAATCTCTGCAGCACTGTGACATATTCATGATGGCCATAACACCCATGCTGGAAGGTTGTGGGTTTACCAGAATGAGGGCAAGGAACACCTGGCCTGCCTAGGGCGGAAAACTGCTTAAAGGCATTCTTACACCACAAACAATAGCATGAGCGATCTGTGCCTTAAGGACATGCTCCTGCTGCAGATAACTAGCCCAACTCATCCCTTTATTTCAGCCCATCCCTTCGTTTCCCATAAGGGATACTTTTAGTTAATCTAATATCTATAGGAACAATGCTAATGACTGGCTTGCTGTTAATAAATACATGAGTAAATCTCTGTTCGAGGCTCTCAGCTCTGAAGGCTGTGAAACCCCTCATTTCCCACTTCACATCTCTATATTTCTGTGTGTGTGTGTCTTTAATTTCTCTAGCGCCGCTGGGTTAGGGTCTCCCCAACTGAGCTGGTCTCAGCATTTAGACGTATTTAAGATTTCACTTTTAATAGTTTTATCTAGACTACCACCAAGAACCAAAATAACCACACAAAGCTAGTCACCACTTAAAGCTATTGTAATCATTTTTAAGCCTATGAATATTAATAGTTTATTTAGGTAAAAATCTTAAAGTTAAATTGTAGAAGATACAACATTTTTTTAAAAACTAGTAAGTTTACAATCATCTAATCTGTTTAATTTATGAGCATTCTTTTATAAGGCAATTTGATAGCATGCTAGACACAACACATATTATATGAATGAAGTGACCTATATAAGACAGCTGGATTCAAATTATTTACAAAATTGGGACCATCTATTAGGCCAAAATTTTTTTTGCCCCAGTAGATATGGAAGACAGGAAAAGGCAGGGAAGGAAATCCCATAGCATTAAATAAGGAAGGGAGAAGGCAAACTGCATTGCTCAAGGAAAGACCTTGGAGTACCCAGGCTGCCAGAGAGCTCATACAGCAGTGGAGATATTGAAGAAAAATGTTCAGCCAGCCACTTGTCTACCACTGTGGGAAACTGTCCATTGAGTCAGGGTCTAAGACCCCCAGTAAACTTATTTGAGCAAGACAACTAAGTGTAGCTAATGGAAGGTTAGCTCTGTATTGACAGGGAGTTTTTTCCCTATCTCACCAGGGACAGTTAGGACATTCTCATTGCCAGTGGCCCTTTTGCTTATGGTAGACACATATGGGCTCTTGTCTGGGCATCCCAGATGCTGATCTTGTGACACTTTCTTGGGATGGGCAACTTTGAGGTGGCAGGGGGCTTAAAGTAACTGTTAACAATTGAACTTTTGGGCTATTTTTTGTTGTTTTTTTCACCTCTTTTGCCCTGGCCCTATTGTTGTAAACTTTATAGGCCATGTTTAAATGTTGACTTTGGAGGTTTAAAGTCCCATTGCTGCTTTTTGTAGCTTCCTCCTAATGTCAGGGGCAGATTGAGTAGTAAAATGTATACTCAGGAGAGCTTGCCCTTCTGAGGAGTCTGGGTCTGCATTGGTATATTTCCTGAGTGTCTCAAACAAATGACCTTGAAACAGTGGGAATTTTGTCTTTGAGTTATTTCTCTCACCTTGTCATAATTCACTGGCTTAACCACACACCTTTTCTTCTGCTTTTTTTCCACAGCACAGCAAGCAGATGACAATACTTGCAAGACATGATGTGTTAAATTAAAAAACATAGTCTATTTAACAAATTCTTTTATAAATTTTTCTGGATTCTCTGGCCAAATTTTTCCTTGTATAAAACTAAATCACACATAGAAAATGGCACATGTACTCTGTTTCCTCATTTCTATCAGGCACCTCCCTCAATGGACACAGGTTTGATTTTTGGAGCTGATATGGAGCCCTACTCCTGGTGGTACTGGTTGGTACTTTCTCAGGCAGCAGGGTGTATAGGCTGGGGTAGCTGGATAAGAGGAAGGGGTGCCCAATGACCTTGGGTGGAATTCTTCATTAGAGAACTGGCAGGACCCCCCTCAGAACTGGGGGACTGAGGAGACTCCAGGGAGGCCATAGGCCTTCTAGGGGGAGCAGCTAGGAGGGGATCCCTTAGGCACAGCTTCCTGTTACTTAGAAGTAACATGAGCCAATAAAGGACCATAAAAGCCTGTACACAAGGGATCTCCTCTCATTTCCGTTCTTCTTTACAGAATGAGTCTAATCGTAAAATATTATTATAACATATAGAACCATGTTTAGGCCAAATCTATTGGTTTTCTAATTTGTATTGAAACCAAGTGGTATTGCAATAGAATATGAGTTGCTTTTTCTTGAGGCCAAATTTGAATTTGCTCTAATAGCCTAAAAGACAACCCAAGTGGCAAGTCCTCTGGGATACCTGTCATTGTCCCATGTCCCATGTTTCTACCGGACATAGTTTTTCTAAGTCTAGTGAAAGGAAAAGGAACTGGGCTTTTACTATGTTTTCCTTTTAGATTCTCACTTCCTGCTGAGAAGGTGTAAGTATAAGTAGCAAGGCGTTATGAAAGTGGGTTATAAGGATTTGCCAGTGAATGAACTATGACAAAAGGAGTATTTTTTAAAGCAAAATGTAAAAGGAAAAGTGCAAATAAAGTGACAATAAGAAAAGAAAATGCTGTTATGGAAAATGATAACTTTAGGTCAGGAAACAAGAAAAGGCAAGACCAAGATTCCCCCTAGGGTGTGCCTTCAACCCACAATCCTAGAGGGAACACCAATGCTGAAAGCCCTAGAGCATTCAGAGTGTGGCCAACAAAACCAAATGCCAAAAATCCAGAGTACCAGAGTATCAGCCAGTGAGGGTCCCTACACCAAATGCCAGAAATTCCAGAGTACCTGGGAGCTAACCAATGCCAATAACTTCAGAGCATCTAGGGAAAAGCCAACAGTGAATCCCAAAGGCCTGGTGGGAGCCACAGAACAATATGACTCCAGCGTCCCAGAGTCAACACAATGGGAGGGCTCTCACAACCAAGTGACCTGCTTTAAACAATTGCCCAAATACAGTTAACAAAAAGTCAAAGCAAAAAGCACTGCAGGCAAAACACACATTTAAGAACTGAAAATAAAATGGCTGGTTATTTAAGAAAGAGATAGTAAAGACAAGTCAAAAAGTCCAAGCATGTTGTAAATGGTCTTTGTAAGTCATGATAAGGTTCATGAAGGGGAATTTATGAAAGGAATTCTGTGTATGATTAAGCTAGCTGTAATTAAAATTGTTTAAAATAGACTTTCTACTTTGGGAGGCCAAGGTGGGTGGATCACCTGAGGTCAGGGGTTAAAGACTAGCCTGGCCAACATGGTGAAAACCCATCTCTACTAAAAATACAAAAATTAGCTGGACATGGTGGCAGGCACCTGTAATCCCAGCTACTTGGGTGGCTGAGGCAGGAGAATCACGTGAACCCCAGAGGCAGAGGTTGCAGTGAGCTGATGAGATCACGCCACTGCACTGCTACCTGGGTGACAGAGGGAGACTCCTCTGTCTCAAAAAAAAATTAAAAATTAAAAATAAATAAAATAGACTTCTAAAAAATGGTCTACATGTTAAAATCAAACTTTCTTGAGGTACTGGTTTGCTAAATTATGGGAAATTTTGCTTTCAATACTATAACCCGTTGTGTTTTTTTTTTAAGCTTCTCAAATTTGTGTCTCCAGTCCTTTTTGGGCCATCTCTTCTCCATCTCTTAGATTTCTTTGGAGTGCATCATTCTTTCTGATCTAATTACTGATACAAGTTTCACACACACACACACAACCATCACTGTGAATATTTTAAATGTCTAATGTGTGTGAGAAAGACTATTTCCAGGTATCTGGGTTTTTAATCAATGTTTATTAAAATTATAATTATAAAATCTGATTTTGCATAAGCCTTTAAATTCGAATTACAAATCTTGAAATTCTGTCTATAAATGTACTAAGTGTTGTTTTTGAAAAAATCACTTCCACTTGTTCTTTGATTGATGTTTAACTCAAACAGATTTACATTTTCTTAGCAATGAGTCCTATTTACAAAGTTAGCACATTTTTCATAACTGATATAAACCATATTCACATGCTTAATATATTGAGTTTCTTTTCCTCATGCTTTTCATTGCCTGACAAGGTAGACTTAGAATCCTTATATGCAAAATCTTTCTCACCACTTCAGCAACTCCTGTAAATCTAATTACTTGATTTGCCATGTTCAGATGTTTGATGTGTCCTAAATGTTCTAATACTGCTTATAAGCTTAAGCAGCATCTTATACCTTTCAACTGAAACTCATCAGTCTAAAATCACATATTTCAAGTTGAAAACACAATTTAAATTCAGGTTTAACTTAAATTCATACAGATTTTTAAATTTATCTTAAACTTGACTTCACAATATTATAATTTACCTCACTGACTCTATACTAAGTTTCACACCTTGTCAGAGTTGTAGAGTCATTTACCCCACTAAGCAAAGCAGTTTGACCTTCTCAGGAAGATTGTGGTTATTAGGTCAAAAACTTAGTACCTATTATGGAATGAATGTTTGTGTCCCCTCCTCCTAAAAAATTTATATGTTGAAATCCTAATCCCCAACGTGATGGCATTAGGTTGGTGCAAAAGTAACTGTGGTTTTGCCATTTTAAAAAATGGCAAAAACTGCAATAATATTAGAAGGTGGAGCCTTTGGGAGGTAATTAGGTCATGAAGGTAGAGCTCCCGTTAATGCAATTAGTGTCTTTCCTTATAAAAAGAGATATGAGTGCTCATCCTCACTCTCTCTGCTCTCCACCATGTGCAAGAAGATAGATGTCTACCAACTAGGAAGAGAGCCCTCACCAGGAACCAAATCTGCTGACACCTGGATCTTGAACTTCCCAGCCAACAGAATTGTGAGGAATAAATGTATGTATTTTAAGCCAGTGGTCACCAACCTTTTTGGCACCAGGGATCAGTTTCATGGAGGACAATTTTTCCAGAGACTGGAGGGTGGAATGGTTTCAGGATGATTCAAGCACATTACATTTATTGTGCACTTTATTTCTATTATTATTACACTGCAATACATAGTAAAATAATTGTACAACTCACCATAATGTAGAATCACTGGGAGCCCTGAACTTGTTTTCCTACAACTAGACATCCTATCTGGGGATGATGGGAGACATTGACAGGTCATCAGGCATTAGATTCTCACAAGGAGCACACAACCTAGATCCCTCACATGCACAGTTCACGACAGGGTTTGTGCTCCTATGAGAATCTAATGCTGCCACTGCTCCGACAGGAGGCAAAGCTTAGGCAGTAATGCCAGCAATGGGGAGCAGCTATAAATACAAAAGAAGCTTCACTTGCTTGCCTACCACTCACCTCCTTCTGTGGCAGCGCAGTTTCTAACAGACCACGGACTGGTACCAATCAGTGATCCAGGGGTTGGGGATCCCTGGTTTAAGCCACCCAGGCTATGGTATTCTGTTACAGCAGCCCAATTGACTAAGACAGTGCTATAAAACAGTGACTTGTCAGATTGAAGAGCAGGACAAGAGAGCTACTTTCTGCCAAGGTAATTCTCACCAGTGACCTCATGAGCATTCTCCTGGTAGATTTACCTCTGCTGACCACAGGCCAGGCTTTTGGCTGGACTGTTTCACAGCTCACATCAGCAGGGCATCTTCTGCATTGTGCCTTCTCCCATCTTAGGTAGATGGAACAGTACTGCACCCATACCTGGATCCTTAGCAAGTTTTCCTCGCTTAATAAGTTCTGCATTTTGTTTTGCATTTTTCTTGTCTCACCAGACTCTATAGCCCTGTCAATGGCCTTGTCTAATCCTCTAATTGAGGGTCATCAGACCCACATACACCTTTTCACTTACATACCCATCTGGCCTGGCCTCTAAGTCCTCATACTTCTTTAACATTGTCTAGCTTGTCTTCAAAGACCATAAGCCTTTCTCCCAATGAAATTTCCCTCTTCCCCCATCTTAATCAGCCTTTTTTTTCTTTTGTTTTTATTTATTTCCACTGCACCCGTTCCAGAAGAAAGACAAAATTCTACGTTGTTTTGTTGTTGCTGCTGCCGTTGTCTTTAACTAGTTCTTCCTTGATTCCTTGAGCAAATCTGATTCTTAGAATGTTTTAAACATAGGCATTGTAATTGCCTTCTTGAGCCTTTGGGTTTGCAGTAAGTTCAGTTATCTCTACATCCTAACAAGAAAATGGTATATAATAAGGGATTCTTCCTCCTTTTGATATCTACATTGGGAAAAATATAATATACTTAGTGAGTAAAGCCACAGTCTAGGTCTCCAAAATTCAACTTCATGGCCAAGGATTGTATAGGTAACCAAAGGATGATAAAGATTACAATTCAACACCTACCTTGAGATGGTTGGAAGTAACTCCTCAGAGCTTGTGGACAAGCCTCATGATCTGAGCTCAAGACACCTCCACATTTTACTGTCTCATCTCATGGTACAGCTCCCAGTGACAATAAGACCAGGCATGGCCCACTTAGGCCTGCACAAAGCTCACACACACATGCTTGGGAGAGCAACTTAGCTTCTTTTTAGATTTGAAGCTCGGACTGAAAACCTGGCTGAAAAACACAACAAAACAAAAAATCATTCCATCCACCAATGCTTACCTAGAAAGCTTTTATTTTTGAGAATCTTTTGAGATTCTGCCCCTTCTGAGTCCAAAAGACTTTCTATATGGTGAGCTATCCTCCTCTATCTTTGCCTTCCGTGCAGCACTAGATCACCTTTGCTCATGCAGCTCAAAATTGGCCACAGAAGTTGGAATCCAAAACTCTGTGAGATCTTGCTTACTAAGACCCTAGCAGCTCAGTTCCTGTCTGCTACAGTCCCCATCTGTTAAAAAATAATAAATAACAGGCCAGGCGCGGTGGCTCACGCCTGTAATCCCAGCACTTTGGGAGGCCGAGATGGGCGGATCACCTGAGGTCGGGAATTCGAGACCAGCTTGACTAACATGGAGAAACCCCATCTCTACTAAAAATATAAAAAATTAGCCGGGCATGGTGGTAGGTGCCTGTAGATACTCGGGAGGCTGAGCCAGGAGAATGGCATGAACCCAGGAGGCGGAGCTTGCAGTGAGCCGAGATGGCGCCACTGCACTCCAGCCTGGGTGACAGAGCGAGTCTCCGTCTCAAAAAAAAAAAAAATACAAAATTTAGCCGGGCATGGTGGCACATGCCTGTAATCCCAGCTACTCCGGAGACTAAGGCAGGGGAATCGCTTGAACCCAGGAAGCGGAGGTTGCGGTGAGCTGAGAACGCGCCATTGCACTCCAGCCTGGGCAACAAATGTGAAACTCCATCTCAAATAATAATAATAGTAATAACACTGTGCCTGTTTAAATAATAACACTGTGCCTGTTTAAATAATAACACTGTGCCTGTTTAAAACAGTCTGGCAATGATAGTCACACTCCTATGGGCATTAGCCACAGTAAGCTTCTGTGAGCTGCCAACGTGAAAAAACCCAGGTGTGTCTGGCTCCAAAGCATGTGTTCAAAATCACAACCACATGCTGTCTGGGCTTCAGATGGGAGAAGCTTGAGGAATTCTGCCATCCCTAAAACCCTATGCTTTTAAAGACCCCAGCATCACTGGAACTAAGGATGGTTTTGTTTACCTCCCAGTAATTAATGACAACGATAGCTAACAAGTAGCATGCACTTTACAGCATGTCAACTCTGAGTTATTCAGAAAAGGTTATCTTATTTAAGCCTCATTCAACCCCTTGAGTAAGTAATTTCCCCGTTTACGTGATGAACCAACCCTTAGAGAAGCTGAAGACCAAGACTCAACACTAAGTTCCTGGGATTTGAACACAGGCAGCACTGACAGCAAAGTCCACGTTCTTAAACCCCTCCCCACGACCATTGCACCCAGCAAAAGGAGGCCTCTGTGCTTTGGGATTTCCCCAAACCAAAAAGATGGCATAGCAAGAATACGTCCCCGAGGAAGAGGGGAAGTCGTCCAATGGTCTGGGAGGGGGCTAGACTTTCAGGGGGCAAGTGGCACGAGCAGCCTGCATCCTCCTTGGGCCTGGTACCCTGGGGCTTTGCGCAGTTGTTGTCTGGAAACTGTGTTTGCCCCGCTTCACTGCTTCTTGCCTTTGGACTTACCTTTCTTCTCTGTAGTGCCATGGAAGGAAAACTACTCTCCTTCCAGTGACCTAACTAAAAATCAGAAGTTTTCTTAAATGCTGCTTTTGCCCCCTGGTAACACCCTCTTCCCCCAGAGCCAGCCACACTGCGACCCAAGGAGAAAGGGTAGCACAATCCCAACCTTTAAGTGTGGAAGGGAAGAGACCACGTCCGATGGGGGAGGTGGGAGAGGGGCCACAGAGCTGGGGTGAGAACTTCTGAAACTGGAGTCAGGTCGCTGAGATCGGATATTGGGACAGAAGCTCCCTTATCCTTATGAATTAGAATCCCCACCCAGGAAATACAGGATTCCTACTCCTTTTCTGACAACGCCAGCTCCACCACATCCCGGAGTCTTCATTCCCCCTCCACCTACCCACTGTCGCTAAATTTAGAGCCTCATCTGTCCTCTTCCTGTAGGACGTGGGTATTTTAAGTGCTCCGCAGCGTGGTGCCGCAGGAGAGGCAGTGACGCCAGCACCGTGGAGGCTGGCGCGTCAGCTCCTCCTCTCTGCCTGTCAAACGCGCCCACCTGCCCGGGCTCACCCATCTCTCTCCACACCTGTCTCCCTTCCTCCCGTTCTTCCGTTCTCCCAGGAGGCCGCCAGAGGGAGCACACTGAGAGCCTCCGCAGGTTGCTGGGGAGTTTAGGAAACTGCACCGAGGAACCTAATGGACACACTCATCTCCATTTCACACTTATGGACAAATCAGGGAAACACCTCAGAGTCTGAAAGTTTCACCAGCTCTTCTGGACTGGTGAAAGAAGAGCTCCTAGTTGGGACAGGTCTGGGGATATAGGGGATCTACTTTGGGGAGCCCCTGACATGGACCTAAAATCTGAAGGGAACGTGAGATCTCCCACAGCACCTAGAAGGCTGGGAGCACATGTGACCTTCTAGGCCCACCCCAGTGAAGCCCCCAGGGTGAAGGTGCATCAGCCCAAAGGCTGCAGGGTGGAGTGCAGACTTTGAAAGTGGGTAGAGCCACACCTCTGCCCACCGCCAGTGCATTTGTGTCCAGCTGCTCTGACGGCACAAAAGCGAGTTTCCAGGACTCTGGTTTGGTAACAGGAAGAAGGACACACTTTGTTCTTGAACTGGTGGTTAACCCAGTTGCCTCTAGAGCATCGCTTTTCCCCGAGGGCATGCTTTTCATCATGCACCTTTAGAGAAGCTAATTAATTGTCATTGCGGAGAGTAGACTTGAGAGGAAAACAGCCTTCCATTGCAGAAAGAACGGTTTGAGTGATGCCAAGGCAAATGTGTTTGCTGTTTCAAATGAAATTGGGAATAGGTGAATTGGAAACCCTGCCCCGGGCCTGATAGCCCCAGGCTTTGCCAGCTTCTTTGAGGGAGGTTAGGAAACATCTTTCCAGGAGATCTTGAGCAACAAAATAAAAACCCATGCAGAATCCTGCCTGCTGCCCTTTCCCTGCGTCACTGGAGCTGGCCTCCTGCCTCAAGCCTGATCCCTGTTTAGTGTGTGTGCGAGTGTGTGTGTCAGAGACAGGCAGAGATTGAGAGAGGGAGGGAAGTCAGCGAGTGACAGCAGAAGTTCAGGGCATGTGGTGGCACAAGGAATTCATGGTCTTCCCCAGGCCTCTGGTGCCCATGTATACCCCCACCCCAGGTAACATCTCGATGGGCCCAGTAGTCACATGGGGAGATGTGCTAACCATGGGCCAAGACTTGGGCATCAAACACTGAGGGTGAAGAGGAGGGCCGGGAAAGGTTACACCAGAAGAAATAATCAGAGGTGAGGGCTTCTGATTCTGGAGAGTTTCCAGGAATCTCAGGTAGAGTGGTTGCATTTAAGAGAAAAACCCATGTCCAGCCCCAGAGGCAGCTGATCCAGGAAGGCCAAGAGTCAGGCCGAGGCTGGGCAGACACTAAGAGAAGGACATATGCTACTTTGTGGCAGTCTGCAGGGGCGTGTGCATCAAGAGGGAAGCAGAGTTCATGGCAAGCTTGCCTTCTTACCCACAGCCCCTATCCCTGAGACTTGAGCTAGAAGTGAATAAGGACCCCCGAGCCTCAAGTGTCAAGGACACACACAAAAATAATAGAACCTGCTTGGCTTCTGCTCCTCTTCATGGGAAGCTGCATCTCCGAGACAGGGTAGGTGAGGACTAAGACGATGACAAGAAGGAGGAGGGGGCTGAACTTCACCCACTGAAATTCAGGACCACAAACTATTAATAAAAACTCTCAAGCCCCTTTGAGAGCCAAAGCTCTCAGATGTCTGAAGTCTGTGACCTTTTGAGCCTCTGGAAGACTCTAGGTAGACAGGCAAGGCGGTCTCCTATGCAGTATTGCCTCAGACCCCAGAACATCAGCTTGGCATCTAGGCAGACCTAGACTACAGGAGAGGCCACTACAGGGCGTCTGCTTGGCCATGCTCAGCCTTGGACCTCCCATGCCATGGGCCACCAACGGAGCTCTCCTCTCTCTTCCTACCAGTGAGTCTTCCCTGAGTCTGAGAGCCATACACATCACCTCAGTCACCACTGACTGAGCCCCTACTGTGTGCCAGGCCCTGTGCAAGTTGCTGGGGATACAGAGAATCTGTGGAGAGACAGACATGTCCCTCAGCTTTGTAGTCAATACCATCATGGAGGCGTGAATAAGGGCTCCCAGAGCACAGCAGAACTCCTGGTAGAGGCAACTCTTGAACCGGGTCTTCAGTGATAGTAGAAGACTGCCAGGCACACAATGGGTAAGGGACATGCCAGGCAGAGGGAACAGTACATGCAGACACAGAGGCGAGAAAGCAGGGTGTGTGTGGGAAGCATATGTGATTTCTGTGACCCCACCGCAGGGGTGCAGGGGTGGTGGCCGCAAAGAGGCCAGAGAAGGAGGAAGGCAGGACCTGCCCCACCTGGTTAAGGGGCTAAGGCGTCAGGACTTGACCTAGGCCTGACAAGGAGGTAGGAAAGTTGCTCTACCGGAGAGTGGTCCAACCAGAGTTGCACTTGAGAAAGGCCACTGAGATCCAGAGTTGAGGACGGGGTGGAGTAGAGCAAGGCATAGGAGACGAGGACAGGTGGAAGGCAGGTGCGAGGCAGGTGGGAGGCAGGTGGGAGGCAGGTGGGAGGACAGGTGGGAGGCAGGTGGGAGGAGAGGTGGGAGGCAGGTGGGAGGCAGGCGGGAGGACAGGTGGGAGGCAGGTGGGAGGAGAGGTGGGAGGACAGGTGGGAGGACAGGTGGGAGGCAGGTGGGAGGCAGGTGGGAGGCTCTTGCCACAGACCAGGCAAAAACACAGAGGGTACAGGTCAAGGCGGCGGCAGCAATAAGGGGAATAGAAAGCAAAAGACCTATTGGAGAGATTTTTAAGGGGTAAGAACGACAGGGTTTCATCACCATTTGGCCATGGGGTTGAGGGAGAGGGAGGAATCTAGACTGACTCTCAGATTTCTGGCATAGGCGAATGGGTGAAAGGTGATAGGGATAGGTCACAGAGAAGTCGGGGAAAGGTGGAGTCTGAGGCACAGGAAGGGCAGGTGGATATGCCAATAGGTAGTTGCAAATGTGAGTTAGGAGAGAGATTCAGGTGGGAGATAAAAATATGGAGGCATCAACATGCAACTGGGAGTTTGCGGCCATGGGCAAGGACAAGGCACCCGGTGGATGTCAGAACGGGCGTCAGGCGGAGCACCCACCTCCACCCCAACTGTGCTACAGGCAGCCGCAGAGAACCAGGAAGAGCCTAAGGATGCCCTACTCTGTCATGCTGCAGGAAGGAACTAAGACTTGGATCCCTGGTATTTCTTGGGCCAGGACAGCACCAGAGGGATGCTCCCACCAGCAGTTCACTCTTCTGAAATAACCCCTTGGGGTTATCATCCTTTATCACCTGGGGCTTAAGTAAGACCTGGGTCAGAGAACTAGTGGCCCAAAAGGCTGCAGAAGGGCCAGACTCTGCCTGCTGTCAGGCCAGGGGCTGGGCCCGAGTGGAGAGGGCGGAGGCCACTAAGCAGCCATGTGAGGCAGCCACAAGGACATGGGCAAGGCAGGCAGACATCCCCTGGGTCTGAGCCTTGGCTAGCAGGAAAGGGTCAGCCTGGGAACAGTCTCCAGATCCCTTTGGTACAAACAGCAGGGTTGCCTGCCTTCTCCCTGGGGCCGCCCAGCAGGGAGCCCATGTGCACAGGCAAAATGTTCCAAGTTGTGGGGCGGGGTTGGCAGCACCCCTGCAAGGCACTGGGCATCTGCCCAGGTGTCCATAGCATTCCCTGAATCTTCTGTACTTTTCCAGGGGGTGCTGAAGGAAGGGAGGCGTGGGAACCATCTGCCCCCAGCTTACTTTCCAGGTGATCTGGCATCCTGGGGACTTACCTGGTCAGGCCCCCAAGATCACCAGCCCTGCCCACCTCACTTCAGCTCTGTGCAGAGACCCAAACAGCCCCTGAGGCCCCAGAGCCTCCACCACACCCACACAGGACCAGGCAGTCAGGAGGCGCCTCACAGAGCTTTTTTTTTTTTTCTGATTGTTTTATTTGAAAACCCTAGGATATGTCCCCTCCCTCACCACACCCAACCCCCCGCCCCTGCCCCAGGACATGACGATGCCTCACACACACACACACACACACATACACACAAGGCCGTGAGCTGCACGCAGGAACATGGGCTGCACTCACGACAACATTGAAAAAATATACATTATATATGTACACCCGGGGCCCCCACGTCCCCTCCCGTCCCCGCAGCCTGGCCACACCAGGTCACGGAGGAGGGGCCGGGGCTGCAGGACCTCAGGACTGCAAGGGCAGGAAGGGAAACAGGACAAGAAAGGAAGGAAGTTGGAAAGGAGGGAGAAATGGGGTCCCCAGACTGAAATGGAAATGAGGTGGGGCGATCATAAGAGAAGCAGGGACGATGGTCCAGCTGAGGGAGCCCTGCAGAGGGGGAAAAGCTTCCCATGGACAGGAGAGAGAAGGGAAGGGGAGAGGAGAGGGTTTCCTTCAATCCCACCCCCAGCCCCAGCCCCAGCCATTGCAATCGTCACCCTCTCCCCAACACAGTGAGTGCTAAGGGGGCAGCTGCCATTGGGGGTAGAAAGGCAGCTGAAGTCCAGCCCACTTTCCAACCCAGCCAGCCCCAGTGCAAGGGGCACACCAGGAGCATGACAGCCCAGAAGTGAGGGATGGGGGGCCGGGGGAGGGGCAGGGCGGACTCCAGAGGGCCCGCTGGGGTTTTGAAATGAAAGGAGGACTGGTTCTGAAGCCTCTCTCCCTCTTGGTCTCTGTGTTCCCAGAAAGTCCTTCTCCCATGTCTGGAGTGTCTGTTTCACCAGGGCAGAATTCCCCCTCTGCGTGGGGAGAGGTGTAGGCCTTAGTAGCGGTGTGGGGGGGTCTCGATGATGCGTCTCTCGTCGCTGCTGGGGGAATCGGCCACCTCCGAGTCACTGCTGTCCTCATCCTCCTGCTGGCCCCCAACAGCCCCCGTCACACAGGACTGCCGATTCTGGTAGGACTGGAGGGCAGGAACAGAGAGGAGAAGGGATCAATGGCCTGCACACATCCCAGCCTCTCTTTCAGGGACCACACTTCCCTCGGTCCCCTTAACCCCTGTGTACCCCCTTCCCTGCCTGAACCTCTCTCCCTCCGGCTCACTGCAGCTCTGCGAACAGCCTCCACCCAGGCCTGCCCCTCCTCAGGAGTCCTCACCGTGTGTGCTCCACAGTCTTGACCCTACAGAACCCCGCTTCCCCAGGCCTCTCACCTCCATGGGGTTCACAATGATGGTGAGAGCTGAGTCATCCCAGAAGAGGTCTGGGTCCTTGGGGTCACTGGAGGCCCCTGGAGGCCCGCCGGCCCCTGAGACGCGGCGGTGAAGGGAATGGATGCGCACCAGGCCCAGGACGACCATGAGCACCAGGAAGCCCACGCACACCACAATGATGAGGGTTGCGGCGCTGGGTATCACTGCAGAGAGAGCGCGGGGGTGAGCAGAGCGTGACTAGGCACACCTGGGGGCACTTGGACAGGGGGCTGGGTAGGAAAAGAGGCAGCCCGGGCTGAAGGACTCCCAGGGCAGAACACACGGTGGCCGAGAAGAGAGGAACACCTGGAGAAGCCAGAAGAGAAACAGCCCACCAGGAAGGGCAGGAGACGAAAGGGGAGGAAGGGAGCTGCTGCAAGGCAAAGGAACAAACACAGAGGGAGGCAGGTGTACAGAGAGGCAAGGGCAGAGGAGGAAAAAGACTCCCTGCCCAACACTGTCATGAACAGCCCTATTCGCAGAGGACAGAGGGCAAGGACTGGAATCTGCCCCTGTCATTCCACCTGTGCCTTCCCCAGAGACCACTCAGCCTAGGAAAGAGGTGCCAGTGCCCAGTGAGGGAGAGGAGGGGCCCCCACACGGGCTTGGCTGAGCAGGAGGAGATGCAGGCTCCAGGCCTGGGCTGGCTGCAGGAAGAGGGCACTAGCACCTGAGGCTGGGGACAAGTCCAAGGGGCACAGAGCAGCCCCTTCCCTTACCCACCTGGACTGAGCTCACTCCGTGACACCTCCCTTCTCCTGGTGGGCTTGGGGCTCCGGGACGTCTGGGGTTCCTGCTTCCCCAACATCTCCCCCTGAGGCATACCTGCCTCCCCCGTGGCTCTCCCATGCTTCTGGCCCTGCAGCCCCACTTTGATGCCCAGGCTCAGAGGGGCATGGACCTTCAAGGGCACTGAGACACAGAACGGTGCGTTCACTCTCACACGGACCTTAGAGCTGATGGCGGCAAAGCAGATGTGCATGCACAGGTACATGCTCAGGAAGACCGTGTGGGCACACAGCTGCACAAAGGTTGCCACGCCCCACACCCGAGCCAGGCCTTTGCCAGCCTGCATGCTGGCCCACACCAGCCACCTGGCCGCCTGCTCACACTGCGGGAGTAAAGGAACGCGTCTGGGGGTCTCCAGCAAGGCACGGTAGAGCCATATGTGCAGCATCACCCAGCTCCCCACCAGCTGGGCAGACCAGGCAACCCCCTGAAGGAAGACATAGACACTACAGACGTGGGCCGTGAGGGCCACAGAGCGAGCCGCCATGAGCACAGCCCTGCCTGCCTCCTGCACACACACACACAGCTCTCGAAGAAGCACAAGGAAGAAAAGCAGGAAAGCCCGCAGCCCCAGGGACAGCAGGTGGAGGCAGAGACCCCACACACGCACCTCCAGGCCCAGGGCCCTTACGGGCAGCTGGGTCACTACTCCCCACATGGGTGCACACCCCTGCCCACCATGCATACACAGCAGCTCCTCCCTGGGCGGTCCCGTTGCTGAGGGACTATTCCATGTATGTGTGCCCCAAACACACACAGAGACCAGCAGTCACACAAGCAAGCCCCTAGAAAAATACACACATCGCATTCCAGCCCCGTCCGCAAATTACCTACAGCCTGAGACTCATGTGTCAACAGACAGAGCAGAGCGTAGGGAAGCGCATGGCCCAGGAGCTCCTCACACTCACACCCACACCCTGCTGCAGCGCCCCTCTCCCCAGCAGCCAGCACACTCAGCTGCCACGCACTCCAGGGCCAACTAGGTGTGTGGAGAATGCCCTGCCTGGGCAGGCCACACACCTCCCTGAGGCCACCCTGATGGCTGTCTGCCAAGTTGGTCCCCATCCTGACCCACAGCCCACTTGAGGCCACCAGCCAATTAGAACGGACTCTGCTGGGGCACACTCCCTCGACACTGGTTCCAAGGTGAAGACAGGACTGGCTGGATCAGTATTTCTCAACTTCCTGGGAACGGGGGATAAGGGAGGAGGGGACAGAGCTGTCTCTCCTGCCCATCTGCAGGAAATAGTGTCTCTCAGGTCTCCACGTCAACAGACCAGAGCCAGGGGCAGTGCCTTCACTGGCAGATGGGCCCAGTGGCTAAGCCCAGGCTCCAGAAGGGGTGGTGACCCCACCCTCAGAGTGGAGGCCAAAGCAGGTGAACTTCCTCTAAGCACACAACGATGACGAGCTAAAGCTGGTTTGCGCCCTAATCAATGCAGTGTCCCTCCGAGCTCCTGGCCTAATGAAGGAAATGACAAGTTGATTGCCAGGACAATAAGAAATGACCACAGGAAAGACAAAATGCAGACACTCTATCTACAAGCAAACAAGTCTGGTTAATTAGTTTAAGATGAGTCAGGAGCCCGGGGAGATGGGAGGATTTTTAAATCAGCTACAGATAAAAATCAAGAATTTAAGAAGTGCGTTCAGCTTTTCTTGCTACATGAGATCTGAGCAGTTAATTCTGGCCTTGAATGACCTCCAGAGCCAACATTAAGGGGTGACTTAGCAAATGGTCCATGGGATTGCGAGGACAGTGGAAAGCCCTGTCCATGGCCCCACACGGTGCTCTCTTTGCAAAGAGCCTTGGGAGAGATTTCTTTCTGCCCCCCGCACTCCCAGGGCTTTTCATGAAATAGCGTTTGGCTCCTATCACGGCTCTCAGAACTGCTCAGGTTTCCTTTTGCTTTAGCTTTGAAGAAGCTCAGGGTCAAAATTCTGGCCCGTGGTAGCAACTGCATAGCATCTCATAGTACGCATGTTATGAGCTGACTTTATTCCCTGGCTTCATTGGATCCTTATTTCATCATTACCTGTTCCTCCTTACTTCCTCATTCATTTTCTTTTTGTCCTATTGCTTTGTAACTCTTTCTGCAAAGCTTCAGATACTTGTAGGAAACAAAAGAGGAAAATTATTCCCAAACTTTTAAAGATTACATGGGATTTTTAAAAACCACTGACACGTGGCTCCCACCCCCTAGACATTCTAGGGTATAATTTAGGTGCCGAGAGTTTTTAAAGCTCCCCAGGTGATTCTGGCAGTCATCAAAATTTGATATGAGTAGATACATAATACCCTCATCATCCGGCTTGCTCTTCTCAACCAACCTTATTCTCTCTAACCATAAACACTCTTAACCACCTATCTACCCCCGGTTCTCAAATTCCCATTCTCTCTCACACCCATCCAAAAATCCCTTTTACAGTTCAGGTCCAAATGCAAACTCTACATGTGCCACAAAATCTCCCCTGACTGTTCCAGTTTACCCTGGTTCCAGTTCACATTCATCTCTCTTTCTCTAGTGCACTTAGGAGATTTAGAGCAATGGGCCTCCGTGCCACTGGAGGAGATCGTACCTCTCACTGCTTCTGCATGTTTAGAATGGTTTGATATTGTGAAACCACAGTTCTGCAACACCACTCGAGATTTGTAGGTGAAAGGGAGGGAGCACCTTGCGGAGTCAGAAAAGGCATATGGAAAGGGTTTTATGCCGTGAATGGCCTGTCAGCTCAGGCATGCCAATCACCAGTGCCCTCAGGGAAGCTACGAACTCTGTGTCCTATTCAGGTCAAAATAAGAGAAGAAGCAAAGGAAAACTGCTGCTCTCAACTGAAATCTGAGGGAAGCTTGATCAGCCTGGACATGAGCTCAGAACAAAGGATGGGGAGACTGGGCTTCACCGAGGGGAGGTGAAAGGGTGCCGTGAACAGACACTCCTCCAGGGGCTGAGGGGTGAGAAACGCTGCCCGCCAGACCAGCCCATGCAGGGCAGCTGGACACTCAGGGGAGAAGGTGCTGGGCTCCTAGAACAAGAAGTCTCTCACCTGGGGCCTTATACCAAAGAAAGTAAGGATCGAGAATCTCACCAGGCCAGGCAGCACCCCTATCTACCTTGAGCCTAATCAGAGTAGCAGGACCTAGTATCCAACCAGAAAAGATTGAGTGGAATGATCCCCAATGAAAGAACTGGAGAAAGTGCTATGGAATCACAAGAAGGAAAAAAATTTATAGCTGGCCTCAAGAGTTTATTTGAAATAAATAGGTTTAGCTTGCTAACATGTCTCTATTGACTAAATACTATGTGAAACTTCTCTAATCTTTGCAGCTTGGTTATGCCTTATATTCCCCGCTAATCCTCACTTCCACCTACTTGCTATAGTGAATCACAGTAGAACACTGAAAAAGGCGTCTGCAAGTCCAAGTGCGGCGGCTCACACCTGTAATCCCAGCACTCCGGGAAGCTGAGCCAGGATGACCGCTTGAGCCTAGGAGTTCAAGACCAGCCTGAGCAACAAAGTGAGACCTTGTCTCTATAAAAAGTCTTAAAAATAGCCAGGCATAGTGGCATGCATCTGCTCCTCAGGGGGCTAAGGCAGGAGGATTGCTTGAGCTCAGGAGTTCGAGGCTCCAGTGAGCTAGGATTACCACTGCTCTCCAGCCTAGGCGACAGAACAAGACCCTGTCTCTCCCTCCCAAAAGCCTCTGCGGTTGTTTTCAGGGACAGCAAGGAAGAAGGGAGCCAGTCCCAGAAAAATAAAATAAAATAAAATAAGAGACAGTGTAGGTGGTGGCCGTTGCACAAGGAGAGGAAGCCAGACTGAATCCCTGGGGGCATCAGAGGAGCTGGCCTCAGTCAGAAAACCCTGGGAAGCCCCTCAGGGGCTCCCCCTAATTATATGCAACTCTAAAGTAATAAGACTAATCTTTTTTAAAGCATCAAACATCTGGGGAGAAGGGTGAGGGCCATGGTTAGTGCACAGACTGGAATCATGCCTCCTGGATTTAAATCCTGGCTCCACTTACTTTCTAGCTGCGTGAACTTGGGTAAGGCACTTGAACTCTCTGTGCCTCTGTGTCCTTGCCTGTAAAGGGGATAATTCTGGTACCCATTTCATTGGTTGTTTATGATGGCTAAATGAGTTAATAAGCGTAATCCCCCGAGCACAGTGCCTGGCACATGATGAGAGCACCCTGTGTTTGTTATAATTATTATTACCCATCACATATATTGAAATAAGTTCTGTACTTTCACATAGTGTTCAGAGACCACAAATTTCTTCCCAGAAAGCACTAGTGGACTCCTTTGAGAATTGCCTTCAATTCTCAAAAGCCTGTGACACAACCTTTTGACTCTTTTCAAAGGTGACCGATCTATGGCCTTTGAGAGTGGGTTTAATGTTTAAAAACTTAAAATTATATCCAGATTCAACTTTGGCAAAACTGGGTGATGAAGTTGAGTAACACTGAACAGGGTCAAAAGCAAGTTATGTCCAAAAAATAACAAAAATAAATGCACCTCATAAATTGGCTCTGAAAGCAATTCTAAGAAGGGGTTCCAAAAATCACTTTCAACAACATCAGCATCATTTGCAATTTTTAATAATGTGGGAAAATACTTGTTTTATAATATGAAGTGTAAATATCAGGTTACAAAATAGGCTAATCCTAACTTTCTAAAAAGGAAAAATTAAGCATAGAAAAAAGACTGGAACAGAATACTCATATTATCAGTGGTTTCCTCTCTGACGGAATTATGGCTGAGTTTTCCTCGTCTTCTTCTTTCTTTTTTTTTTTTTTTTTTCCTTTGAGACAGAGCCTTGCTCTGTCTCCCAGACTGGAGTGCAGTGGTGTGATCATGGCTCACTGCAGCCTTGGCCTCACAGGCCCAAGAGATCCTCCTACCTCAGCCTCCCAAGTAGCTGGGACTACAGGCACCTGCCACCATGCCCAGCTAATTTTTTTTATTTTTTGTAAAGACAGAGTCTCACTGTGTTGCCCAGGCTGGTCTCAAACTCCTGGACTCAAGTGAGCCTCCTGACTCAGCCTAGTGTGTTGGGATTACAGGCATGAGCCACTGTGCCTGGCCTGATTTTTCTTCTTTAAAAGAAATATTTGATATTTTCTGGTTTTTCTACAATTACGCAACTCAAAAGTTGAAAATAAAATTGCACCATTCGTAAAGGACCATGACCGGGAACCTTTGGGACCACGGCCAGGTTGCTTTGAAGGGCAGCTTTGAAGGGCAGCACTCCATCTGAATGTAACGCTTTGCATATTTGCATATATTTTTTAGAAATATTCTTGTGACTGCATACGTAGCACATAATTTTACATGTAATAGTACCAATTCTCTCCTTGGGGATAGGGACTGATCTATCCTATAAATCATTTAGATCATCTTAGGACAGTGCTAGTACATAGTAGGTGCTTAGTAAATACTTGATAGTTTCACCACAGAGGATCCTAGGTCCAGGGCTAATTTGATATTGCTTGGGGCTGGGGAAGGAGGCATCATCAGGTATAACAAACACGCCTAAACCCACACTGACTTTATGACTGCAGGCATAAGCATCCCTACAATGACACAAGGCTCATGTTCTTCACAAGGGAAAGTGAATGATCCAAAGGGAGAGAGGGATTGGTCCATAGCTGTCAACTAAGGCAGGTACCACAGGGAACAGAACCCATTGCTCCACCTACCTTGTCCTCTCCCAGAGGTGGAGGGGGAGGATACCTGTCCCAACACACTCACCTGCCACCTGCCCCTCCCTGCCCAGCCCCACCAGGCTTACGTACTGGAGTTTCTGTGGGAGCTGGCTAGGCTGTGTCCAGCCATCTCAGGCGGGGGCTGGTGACCACGGTGCAGGAACTGCTGGGAGCTGAGCACGTGGCTGGGGTGGGCAACCCGGTTCATGCTGTGCAGGACATTGACCTGGGCAGAGGGAGGGCTCCATGGGCACACACGCTTCTCCCAGGTCCTCCCCACTTCTCTAGACCCCAGCCCCATCTCCTAACTACTGCCCCCATCTCCTTCTCCTCCACCCACTGCAAGGTCCAGCAGCCCTCCACGCTGCCATGTCCATGCCCACCAACTAACATTTTGAGTCCATGCCACCTCAGCTCCTTTCTGGGGGTGGGTAACTGTGGAAGGAAGGAGACTCTCTGGGTACCTCCACGATGAATTCATTGCTGGAGTAACGGCCATTCATTTCCGAGCAGGAAAGCCGGAACTTCCTGGTGTAGAGGGCAGCTCCGTGTCGCAGCCGATAACGAGCCTGCCTCAGGATCTCTTCATACACAGTGATGCTCTCCACCCCTGGAGATGAGGAAGCACCTCAGGGCAGGGGCCAGTGGAGGCAGGACCTGGGCAGGACCCTCTCTCCTGGACTCCCACCAGCTGACGCCACACAAGCTGTAGAGCAGGTCAGCCCCATCTCCGCAGAAGTGCGACCTGAGGTCGAAGGGAGGGATGCTCCCCTCCATCCCTGCCCACTCTGACTAACTAGGATGGAGAGATCAAGGCTCCATTTCCTGCTCTGTAGGTTCTGAGGAGGAATGGAAAGAAGGAGATAAAGACATCCTGAAAGACAGAAAGGGAGATGGCAAGCAGGAGGGAATATGAGAAAGAGGAAAATACAGAAGTCCTCAGTGAGCCCTGGAAAGGAGTGGAAATAGAAGGGAACTGATTATCTCCATCTTCTCCATTCTCCCTCCTGGCTTCCTTTGGAAACTACCAAATCATCACTCCCACTATTCACTAAGAGATGAGTACTTCTTGTAAAGCTCTGGTGTGCACGTGAGATGAGTGAGCTGAACAACAGAGATGACCGGTAACAAACAGACAGCTAGAGGGTTAGAAAGCTGGGCAGAGATGAGCCGAAGGAGGAGAGGAAGGTGAGAAGCCTGAATGGAAACAGGAGTGGGACCAGAAGTGGAGGTGAGCCAGGCTATGGAGAGGAGCAGGAAGACAGAAGCATTCGGAGCCTAAACCCAGCACACCTTCCCTAGGGACAATCAAAGCCAGAGGATCTTCCAGGCTAGGAAAATGCAAAACGGCACTTGTCCACATCCCTGGACCTGGAAGGAGGACCCTCTGGGCTTCCTAGGCCCTTACTTTTTGGGAGGGGCACACACACACAGAGGACAGGCCCTCAGGCCCCACTGACCAGCAATAGTGAGGTAGGCAGATGTGTTGGTGAGCTCCAGCCCCCGCTGCTGCAGAGAGGTTGTGTCCAGGAGCAGGCTTTCCCGCTCGGGATCCAGGTCATCCCCCACCAGAGAAATTTCACAGCCATCCAGGTTGTGCACAATCTCATCCGACATGCGTGTGTCTGTCACTGGGTTGGGGATAGTAGGGTCTGGGTCAGAGCCAAAGGGCCCACGGAGGTTCTGAGACCCAACCATGCCCTCATCACCACTCTCCCTCCCTTTCCAGGGCCAGGGAGAGGGAAGTCAGCATCATTTTCAAGAATATCATTATGCAACAATTCATTTCCACCCACGTGTTTTCCACTTGCTCTCCTTCTTAAAGGTAAGTTGTTCAGTCAAACAAACACAGGATGGAGTCGCTTTCTGCTTCCAGCCCCAGGAGTTCTCCCACACTCTGACTCCAGACACTGGCTGGTTCTCTGGATGGTGTTACTCCCCGAAGTCGTCCTTACCTGTGCCCTGCCAACTCTCATCCTTTTTGGCCTCCACCTGGTGAGAAATGGAGCAGGTGATTTGAAGATCAGGGAACAAAGGGACGCCGTTGGTTCCCTCAAAGTCCACAGCTGGGCGGGCAAAATGAGCAGTGCCACTCAGCAGGATCTGGGGGGCGTCAGGCTGAAGGACGACCACGTAGCCCTCCACTTCAGGGATGGAGACGCAGGACTCTTCGCTGAAGCACCTATGTAAGAAAGCAGGAGAAGCAGCATGTGACCCCAACACTTCCTCCCCGAAAACCCACATTCTGTTTCACTCCCCGCCCCAGCTACCTCTATCATAGAGCATCTCATGTCAGGAAGGGGCAGGGGAAGAAAGGGGGTCATGCCTCTGCATCCCAACCCCCACAGCAGTTGAAGGGGGACATATCCTTTCCTGGTAGGATGTCACCAAGGAAAATGTCGAGGACAGAAGGTCAGGTAATCCCAACCTGTGGGTGTGATCACACCATCAATGCCCTACCCCAGGATTATGGAGTACCTATAGATGCTATTTTAATGAAAAACAAAGCAAACTGAACTGACAAACAGGTATATATACACACACAGTTCTTTATCCAGCAGTTTAAAAGTACATGGACTCAGTATACTATCCGGCACATATGCGCCCAAAATTATTCAACAATAAAAGTAGAATGTGGACATCTATCAAAGGATGTCCTCCTCTTTGGTGTGTCTTTCATTCCCTTCAATATCGGGGAAACACACTTTGGTAGGTGAGATCATCTGACCACCTTGGACCTAGATCCACCGTCTCATGAAGCTTGAGGATCCAGGCATCAGGACAAGCTATCCTTAGAGGACTCTGTTGAGCCAGACCAACCAACAGCACAGCTGCTCAGCAGTGATGCTCCCAGGATCACATTTAGCCCCACCTTTACCAGTAATAACAACACCTCACAATCAATAGCCCTTGCCAGTTTATGAAGCATTTTCCCACATTTCTTTCTTTCTTTCTTTCTTTCTTTCTTTCTTTCTTTCTTTCTTTCTTTCTTTCTTTTTGATGGAGTTTCACTCTTGTTGCCCAGGCTAGGGTGCAATGGTGCGATCTTGGCTCACTGCAACCTCTGCCTCCTGGGTTCAAGCGATTCCTCTGTCTCAGCCTCCCAAGTAGCTGGGATTATAGGGCGCATGCCACCACACCCGGCTAATTTTTGTATTTTTAGTAGAGATGAGATTTCTTCATATTGGCCAGGCTGGTCTTGAACTCCTGACTTCAGGTGATCTGTCCGTCTCGGCCTCCCAAAGTGCTGGGATTACAGGCGTGAGCCACCGCACCTGGCCCATATTATTTCATTATATTATAACCTCATTTCTATGCTGTAAAATGCCTAAAGCTCAGGCTGGGCATGATGGCTCATGCCTGTAAATCCTGGCACTTTGGGAGGCTGAGGCGGGAGGATCCCTTGAGCTTAGGAGTTCGAGATCAGCCTGGGCAACATAGTGAAACCCCGTCTCTACAAAAAATACAAAAATTATCCAGGTGTGGTGGTAGATGCTTGTAGTCCCAGCTACTCAGGAGGCTGAGGTGGAAGGAACACTTGAGCCCAGGAGGCAGAGGTTGCAGTGAGCTGATGAGATCAGGCCACTGCACTCCAGCCTGGGCGACAGAGTGAGACCCTATCTCAAAAAAAAAAAGAAGAAAAGAAAAGAAAGAAAAAGAAAAAGAAACAATCAAGGCTTAAACCAGAGTCTAGGCTTAAATCATTCTTCTCCTTCCAGGTCCACTGATTTTTTTTTTTTTTTTTTTTTTTTTTTTTGGCAGAGTCTCTCTCTGTTGCCCAGGCTGCAGTGCAGTAGTGCCATCTCAGCTCACTGCAACCTCTGCCTCCCAGGTTCAAGCAATCTCGTGCCTCAGCCTCCTGAGGAGCTGGGACCACAGGTGTGCGCCACCACACACCGCCCAAGTCCACTGATCTTTCCACTAAACCACAGGCACCATTTGGGGCCTGGGTTTGCACCAGGGAAATGTATCTGTAAAGAAGTTTCCCCACTTGAACAAGCAGACTTCACGGTGGAGTTAGTGATCCAGGAGCATGGACTCTGATCCCCACGCTGGTGCTAGCGGAAATGATTTTACAGAGAGGACTGTAATTATTAGTGTTACTGAGCATGCCCAGCTTGAATGCTGGAGTAAAAAGGGAGAAGGCATCATCTCAGTAGGCATGATGAGCTCAGAGCCCCTGAAGTTGCCAATGCCCGGGATGTGCTGAGTTCCTGTACCACACGGAGCAGGGCCTATTACAGTCTGCCATCCAGATAGGCCTAGGGCAAAGCCCCTTGGGAAACAATCCCAGATGACCCTGAAGGCACAGGCTCCAACAGACATCCTCCCTGCAATGAGCAATGCTGTGCTGTGCCGCTGGTCTGGGAATCCCAAGGGGAATAGGAGGCCTGACCCAAAGGCACCGTTGGTCTGGTAGAGAGATTAGACGTGGCACACAAAAGTTAAAAGAAAGGCAAATATGGTCATCGCCATATGAGTGGAACAAACAACCAGAAGAGTTCAGAGGAGGGAGAGGTTAGTTCTGCCTAGGATAAGAGGAGGGTGCTTGGAAAAGGAAGGTAGGAACGATCAGAGAAAGTAGCAACTGAGCTAGCCTTTGAAGGAGGGTAGTACTGACCCAGAGTGGATGGCGAGAAGCTTACTAAGGGGAGTAGAGGAACATGAGGCAGGAACCACCAGAAGCCAGATGGCTGGCAGCTTTAAATGCCATGATAAGATCTGTTTTTTTTTTCTCTCTCTCTAATTTTTTAGAGACAGGGTCTCGCTTTGTCGCCCAGGCTGGAATGCAGTGGTGCAATCATGACTCACTGCAGCCTCGAACTCCTGGGCTCAAGTGATTCTCCCACCTCAGCCTCCTGAGTAGCTGGGACTACAGACTTGCGGTCTGTTGGTTGTGCAGGCTGGTCTCGAACTTCTGGCCTTAAGTGATCCTCCCACCTTGGCCTCCCAAAGTGCTGGGATTACAGGTGTGAGCCACGGCACCCAGCACATTTGACATTTTTATGCAGTGGGCAAGAGGAAGCCACCGACGTCTTTTTCATCAGGGAAGTGTGATGATGAAAACTCAACTTAAGATCACTCACCTAGCCTCAGAGTAGAGGATAAATAAAATTCGAAGACTAGAGATAGGTCAGCTAGTTAGGAGGCAATGGGCCAGATAAGAGGTAATAAGACCTGGGCTAGAACAGTAACAGCAGCAAAAGAAAGAGGAGACAGATTTCAGACACGCGGCACAGAGGCAGGGTCCAGGTGAGCTGGCAACTGATGGGCAGTGGAGGATAAAGACAGGGAAGAATCAAAGATGACTCAGAGGTTTCAAGCTCTGGATGACTGCAAGGACAGAGGCACCATTACAGAGAGAGTTCAGGGAGAGAGGCTGGTTTGGGATTGCAGTTGATTATTTCAGCATTAGCTCTTTCGGTTGAGGTGCTAGCAGAACTTCTAGATAGAGGTTACAGGAAGCAGATGGAAAGTCAAGAGCTGTGGAAAGAGGACAAAACTAGAGAAATAGATGTGGTATCTATCTGTTCAGGGGTCAATTCCACAAGTAAATGGGCTTTCCAAGAAAAATACTAAAAAAAAAAAAAACTTCAGGAAAACTTGCATTTAGGCATTGACCAAATAGTTGCATAAATCTGGCTTTAAATAGACAGAGGTCCAAGAACTGAAAACTGGAAGCTATGAAAGCCACAGGGACAGGGGCAAGGAAATGCATCAGGGAAAGGGAGGTATTGCTAGGTACCTGTCTGTGTCTGTTACATACACACAAATGCGCGCGCACACACACACACACACACACACACCCCTCTATATTTTCTCCCGTGACCTCAGGGAAGTATTAGGATAGCACCAACCATGTAGTAACCTTAGAAATGGAGAAATGAAAACTCTGTTTCTTAACCTCATAGAGAAAACATCAAGGCCCCTTTCCTCAAAGGCAGGTTCCAAGCCCTTGGATAAACCTCTATCCTGGGCATGAAAAAGATAGCAGGAATTCAGATGAGGCAGTCAGCAAAGAGAATGTCAACTCCTCCCCCCGCAGGAACTCCCCTTGCAGAGCTCCACCCTAGGCCAAAAACCAGAGCCCTCCCTTCTGCCATGGCTCCTCAGCACTGGAGGGGACGAGGCAATGCCTTGGCTTCTGAGGGATCAAGCCTTTCATAACTGGATGACAGCCCTTTAACAACTGGAGCTCTGACTGGGACATGGCGGGGTGCATACTCAGCAATCAGCTGCACCCACATTAACTCAACTGCCTGTGACCTTCAGCTCCACACCCTGAACCAGCAAATTCCCAAAAGCCACAGCCCGGGGCCTTCCACAGCTCTAACTGTGAGGCCTGATAATCACGCCCAGTCACCCTCTAGGGCTCAGAGCCCTCTCCCCTCTAAACCCACCCCTCCCAGGATAGGGGCAAATTTGAGATGTTTATCTTCATATAGCTCACAGAGAAACTGAGGCAGAATCGGGGAGAGGGGTAACAAGATTGGAACGCAGAAATCCTAACTCTTAAATCATGTAATTCACCCACTAGATGGCAGTATCTCCTAAAAACCGCCCATAAACCATAATAAGGGGTGAAAATGCCTTTATGTAATAATAGCCAGCATTTAAGCGGCATCCACTCTCTGCTAGGCATTTGATCCAGATTATATCATGTAGTCATCGTAACAATTCCACGAGTTAGACTCTATTGCTATCACCACTTTATAGCATTTGCCCAGTGCCAAAAAGCTAGCAATAGACCCTATGCTCTTAACTATCATACTTTCGTTGCCTCTCAATTGATCTGTATTTTTAAACATGTAATATATACTCAAACCTTGAAATAATCTACAATTTTTCTTTTAAAGACTCCAAAAGTCATTCACTTAGAATTCAGAGGTCAGTAAACTTTTTTTTTTTTTTTTTTTTTTTGAGATGGAGTCTCGCTTTGTAGCCCAGGCTGGAGTGCAGTGGTGCAATCTCGGCTCACTGAAACCTCCGCCTCCTGGGTCCCAGTTCAAGCAATTCTCCTGTCTCAGCCTCCCAAGTAACTGGGATTACAGGCACGTGCCACCATGCCCAGCTAATTTTTGTATTTTTAGTAGAGACAGGGTTTCACCATGTTGGCCAGGCTGGTCTTGAACTCCTCGTGATCCATCTGCCTTGGCCTCCCAAAGTGCTGGGATTACAGGCGTGAGCCACCGTGCCCGGCCAGCAAACTTTTTCTATGAAGGATTAGATAGTTCTGTTTGAGGGGGCCATATGATCTTTGTCCCAACTACCCACAGTTCTGCCATCACAGTGAAAGTAGCCATAGACATATGCAATGAATGGGCACTGCTGTGTTCCAATAAAACTACAAAACAGGTGGGCAGGCCAGATTTGGCCTAGGACTGCCAACCCCCAGACTTAGGCCATCGTACGTGACCTTGCAAGAGCTTGGTGAAGCAAGATTAAAACAAGTGAAGCAGCCAGGACTCACCATTTGCCCGAGGTTATCCAAGCAATTCGCATTGAGTCAGAATTAATGTCAGGTCTCCCCACTCCCAATCCTGTGTCCCACTTTACGTATCAGCACAGAGGCATAGAGAAGATCAAAGCCCGGAAACCCTAGATGTGTGACTTGGTAGAAAGAGTAACAGATTGATTGTTGAGAAATCTGAGTATAGTCCAGACTCTTCTACCAATATTGCTATGTGACCTTCAGTGGTCAATTGTCTCCATTTGAGGGCCCAATCTCCTCATCCATAAAACAAAAGAGGTATGCCTAGCTCTAGGTGACGCCTTAGGCCAAGGAGCTGTGACACTGTCTGGCTCTGCTTGGTGATTTGCCCTGCCCCACCCAACACTCACTTGACAGCAGTGGTGAGGCGCAGGGGCCTGACGCCGGGCGTGGCAAAGCGCAGAGTGTTCATGTAAGCCACATGCTGCAGGGCATGGTTGAAGGTCTCCACATCATCCCCCTCCAGGGTGAGCAGGGACTGTGAGGGGTTCACGTGGACCTGGGCCCCAGACACAGATACAGCTGAGAGCAGGGCCAGGAGGTGGCAGAGGAAGGGAGCAGAGGTAGAGGGGTAGGGCAAGGGGGTGGGGCAAGGGGCATGCTGGGAAGAACAGGGCTAGAGGATGGGGCAATACCTTCATGCCTTTGCCCAGGCTCTCGAAATCCCTATAGTCCAGCCCCTCCCGACATGCATAGAGGCACTCGATGACCTCGCGGCTCTCCAGGCGACCTGAGCGCACGCTGAAACCAGCCAGGTAGCCATGGAAGTAGTGGTGGATCGACAAAGGGTCTCCTAGGGTAGGAACACAGGAGCAGGACGGGAGGTGAGAAGAGAGGAGGATGGAAAAGGACGAAGGCTGAGAGAAAGGGAAAGGAGAGAAAGAGCAGAAGAGTTGAGAAAGAAAAAAAGGAGAAATGTGGAAACCAAAAAAAAAAAAAAAAAGGAAAAAAGAGAGATGAGAGGTGAGGGAGAAGTGAAGGTAAGGGGGGAGGCTAGAGAAGGGAGAAAATGAGACAAAAGAAGACAGAATAAAGCCAGGGGAGAAGAAGAAGGGTGAAAAGTAGAAGCAACAAAGATGAGAGGGAGGAAGAGAAGGAAACAGGACCAACAGGAGGAAAGAGTCAAAACAAGGAGGGAGGGGGAGGCGGCAGGAGAGAACGTCTTTCCAGTGACATGCAGGGAGACCAGGATGGATGTGAGCGAGCTTCACAGATGCCCAGACCTTCCCCTTCTGCGTGTCTGACTCCTGACTCCTGCCACCTCCCTTCTACCATGTGGAAAGCCACCAAGAGAGCCCCATTCTTCATTCTGTGGGCAGGACAGGATACCCAGAACCCAGCCAAGCTGCCTCTAGCCTTACCACTCCAGGAGCCCCTGCCCTGCTGTATTTCTTGGAGGCTCTGCCCCCTGGTGGCCTAGGAGGCTGTCACAGGCTGGATAGGATTTGGGGTGGAAAAGGGATCTCAGAACAGAAAGTGAAGATGAGAACTCTCTGGTCTCCAGTTCTTACACACGGAGTACCTTGGGTGGTGTCTGTACTGTTGTCTCCCTTTTCCTTCTCTTTGTTCTTCTCCTCTGGGGATAAAAAAAAAAAAAAAACAGTGCTGGTGAGCTCAGGGATGTGGAGAGATTGACAGAGAGGAATGAGATGTCTTCCTCTCATCCCCATGAGTGCTCTCATGCCCACATGGGATTCTGACCCTGCCCATGTATAACTTGCAACCTCTCAGCTCAGCCCCAACCCTTCTTTTGTCATGTTCCAACCTCTCCAGCCTCTATTATAGACAAACCCCCAAATACGATATGCTGCTGAGGAAACACGTGGGCTCTGGTAAGACAGACAGGCACATGTGCACACACACACTCCCAAGAGGAGAAAAATTTTTTCAATGGCTTAAAAGTTGGAAGACCGAGGACACTCTAAGGGGTTACTCTCCTTGAGCAGGGGAATGGGCTATGGAAGTCATCATCACTTTGATGGAAAAAAGTGGAAACTGGCTGGAGTTACAGAGAGAGAGTCTGGGGATGCGTGAGAAGTTAATTCCTCCAAGTCAGAGGTGATGACCCATTGGATTAGTGGGAGATACGGGAGGGAGGCTGTGGTCCCTTCCCATGGAGATCTTCAGAGTCACCCTGCACAGCTGCAGAGAGATGCAGGAGGCGGCCTCAGCTGCTGGGTCAGACTGCCCTTGCTCCTCACCAGCCTACCTCCCTTCCCAAATCCTGAACCACTGGAGTCTTCACTGAGAAGCTTACCAGTCCAGCAGGCCCCAATCATGAGAGCAGGCTCCCTTCGGGGTGGGTGGATGAGGCCATTGTCATGGATGAGGGCAGGGTCGAAGGAGATGCCGTCGGTATAGAGTGTGACTGTGGGGAACTCGAGGTTCAGAGCGTAGTGGTGCCACTCATCATCACAGACCTGGGAGAGTAGGGTAGGGGCAAGAGCCTCTCAGGTAATTCGTCTTCAGAGAGCTAACCCTAGGCACTGCCCCATCTCCTGGGAGACAGGGGACAGTCCCTTTATTCCCAGTTCTACCAACAGGGCTTACTAGTGCTTTGCTGCCTATCCAGCTCGAGGAATAACATCCTTGTCCAAAATCTATCAGGCAACCAACCTAGTAGCAAAGATTCCACTCTTCAGGTAAATCGTTAAAGCTATAAATATTCCTAAGAGGAGTAACACACTTTCATGAATAAATTCCCTGCCCCCCGAACTTATGTATTACATATGTGTGTAAGGCACTGGAAACTCTAGAGATGGGGTTTCCTTCTGTCCCCCAGGCTGGAGTGCAGTGGTGCAATCATAGCCCACTGAAGCCTCAAACCCCTCGGCTCAAGCAATCCTCCCACTTCAGCCTCTGGGGTAGCTGGGACTACAGGTATGTGCCACCATGTCCAGCTAATTTTTTTATTTTTTAGAGATGAGCTATCACTATGTTGCCTAGGCTGGTCTCCAACTCCTGGCCTCCAGTGATCCTCTCAGCCTCCCAAGTAGCTGGGATCACAGGTTATCTCTAGGATAGCTTCTAACCCAACATTAAGCACTAAAATAAATATTGCTTCCCTTTGCAGTCTCTCCTAGGGCCAGCCAAGATGGAATGGGGGATGGTCAGAGGAAAAAGGGGCAGAGAGTACTCTGCCTCATCCAGTTCCAAATGTTGGGGTCCCTCAAGGCTCAGACCTAGGCCCTCTTCTCTTTCCTCTCTACACTCTTTTCCTAGAAGTCACCTCATCTGTTGCCATGGGTTTGGGTACCATAGTTATACACTGGTAACTCCAAAATCCACATCTCCAGCCCATAACTCTCCTCTGAATGCCAGATTCTCCACTTGGATGCCCACAAGTATCTCACATTTAACACGTGTAAGGTGCAAGTCCATGCCCTTTCCCAACTCCCTCAGTTTCTCCCCAGGCAGTATAAATGCTCCATCATCCATCTAGCTGCTCAAGTGGCTGACGTAGGAGACAACTTTGATCTTCCCTTTCCCTCAGCCTCCACATCCAGTCCATTAGCAGGTGCTGTTGATCCCAGGTCCAAACAGAGCTACAAGCTGCAGGTTTCTGTGCAGGTCTCTCCGTCTCCATTGCCACACATCAGTCATGTCTCCAACCCCTTTCATGAAGACTGTTGCAACAGTCCTGTTTACTGTCACCATTAGATACCTTCAATACAACCATCCCACAGTTGCCAAGGGGATCTTGTTAAAATGTAAATCTGGCCAGGCGCAGTGGCTCACGCCTGTAATCCTAGCTCTTTAGGAGGCCAAGGTGGGTGGATCACGTCAAGAGATCAAGACCATCCTGGCCAACATGGTGAAACCCCATCTCTACTAAAAATACAAAAATTAGCTGGGCGTGGTGGCACACGCCTGTAGTCCCAACTACTAGGGAAGCTGAGGCAGGAGAATCTCTTGAACCCGGGAGGCCGAGGTTGCAGTGAGCCAAGATCGCACCACTGCACTCCAGCCTAGTGACAGAGTGAGACTCCATCTCAAAAAAAAAAATAATAATAATAATAATAATAATGATGATGTAAATCTGATCAGGTCATGCCTCTGCTTTAAAATCCTTCAAAAAACACTTCCTGTCTCTCATATGACAAAAATCTAGACTAACCCTGCTGAAAAAGTCCACTGTACAACCTGATCACTGCCCATCTCTGCAACTTATCTCCAGTCTTGTTCACTGTACTCCAACCGCACTGGCCCTCTTTCCATGCTTGGAACATGCTGAGCTCTTTCTTGCCTCAGGGCCTTTGCATATGCTCTTCCCTCTTCCTGGAACCTTCCCACACTCTTCCCACACCCAGCTATTTCTCATCCTTTAGCACTAGGCTTAAATTTCCCCTCAGTCAGGTCCCCCAGGAGCACCCAATCTAAGGCAAGTTCTCCTTTCCTTGCCTCCCGCCATGCTCTGCCCCAGTCCCTTGCCTGCTTCTTTCAGAGCATTTCTCACAATTTATCATTTTACATGTCTATTTACTTTTTAAAACTTTATCTCCCCAACTGAAATGTAAGTTGAATGATGGCAAAGATTTTGTTTCATTCATTGTATTCCCAGAACCTAGCTGAATGACAGAGACTTAGTTGTATTTAATAGATACTGGTTGATTAAATGAGGGTGAATTGAAGAAAGATAGCAAGGGTAACATTACCAATATTTGCAGTGTGAGGGGGGAATCAAGAAACAGCAAATGACAGACTGTCTCTTTAAAAGAGTGCCACAGACAGCAAAACTTTTGTAGACAGCCCTCAATTATCTAGTTTATAAATTATCTGGGCACTTCTTTTCTCTCTTCTAATGCTTTTTTTTTTTTTTTTTTTTTTTTTTTGCCGTTTGCTTACTCAGCCACTCCACCAGGACTTGCAAGAGAAACAGAAGGAGGTGAAAACTCAAATTAGTCCTCACTGGTCCTTGTGGTCAGCCTGGAGAATAAATAATGAAGAGGCTGCAACTGTTGGCTCAAGAGAGGATTTTAAATATTTTATCCATTTTTATTTATCCCTCCATAATCAGGGCTGATAATAGTGAGAATTAACATATACAGAGGGAGTGCTTTTCAGTCTACAACGGTCTATTACATCATTTAATCCTAACGACTCTGGGATATAGAATTCTTTTTATCCCTATATAACAGGGTTGTTTTAACCCTGAGGTTTACACATATTAACCAAGATTTCATAGCCAGCAAATTCCCTTGGCAGGACTCAAACCCAATCTGTGTACCTCAGAATGACTTATTGTCTTGATTACAACAGGCTAACTGCCTGAGAGTCAGGGATGTATACTGTTAAAGTCCTAAATAAGAGAGAGAGAGAATAAAACAAGGAGGAAATAGATGGTTGGTCGACTTTGGTGTTAGTAGTCATTTGTTCCCTTTTTTTTTTAAATCCAGAAGTGCTTTCTGCAGGGGACAAGCTTTGGGAAAAGGGAACAAGAGGACCTGGGAGTAGAATGGTCAGGGGCTGAAAGTGAAGAAGCAAAGAGAGGGCAAGGGGGAACCCAGAAAATGCTGACCCTGCCCAGAGAAGGTCCTTTCCTAAAAGTGAGTCACATCTACTCAGCCCTCCCAGGAGCCTGGCTCTTGCCTCACCTGCTCCAGCTTCCAGAGGAACTTGACTGGGCGGGCACTCTCAAGCAGGGGCCAGTAGAGGAAGGCAATCCTACAGCCGTGGACAGTCAGCGAGTAGTGAGAGAAGCCGTCCTCTGAGGGCACAGGAAGGGGATGGGGTCAAGTGCAGAGGCTGAGGCCAGAACAAGTTCAAAGCAGCAGGAAGGAGAGGATGTTGGATTCTCTTAATCCTCTCTCATTCCCTCGTTCTCTAGCATTTTTCTTTCCTCTCTCTCTCTCTCTCTCTCTCTCTCACACACACACACACACACACACACACACACACACACACATTCCAGTCCAAGTGATAACTTGGGCTTCTTAGGCACCCTGGCTGGCTGGCTGAGGAGGGAACATCAGCTGGCCCACTCCATCACCAGCTCTTCATCAGTCCTTTGGTTAATACATACATCATGGGTGACAACCCTTTTCAAAAGAGTTGTCAAGGTCAAGAGAAATGAGGTTGGAGAATTGGCTAGAAATGAAAGAGCAGGTCAAGACTAAGCCCTCTCCAGTGAAGTAGGCCCTGCAGTTGAGGGAAGAACAGGCCTCGGAGTTGGGGCCAACCAGTCCCAGGATGGGATGATGAAAGAATGGGGCACACCATTACCCAGGCTTTCCCATTGCAATGGAGGGGCTTTAATGGAGGTGGAGATGGGGGGTGGGGACAGCCTACCACATGGTGGGACACAGAGAAGTTGACTGGGCAACTGAAAACAAGAGTAGCAGCAAGGAATCCCATTGCACTCTGACAGCAGTACGATCCAACATGTCATGTTGGGGATAAAGCACAGAATCAAGGCATATCACACCTGGCACTTGCACCTCACAAATGAAGAGAGGGGAAGTGACCTGTTCACAGTCACACACTGGGCAGTGACAGAGGCGGGACAAGAAGCCAGTTTCCCCCTCTGGCTAGTGCCTGGAGGGGAGGCTCACCATTCTGGACAGTGTTACATACGATGGTTTCCTCTTCCTTCTTGCCCTTGTTGGGAGTTACGCCATGCTTCATCCAGAAGGACAGGGTGAAGTGGTCACTGAGGCTGTCCTGGGGCCCAGAGCCCAGCCCACTGGGGCCACCCAGGGGCACCTGCACAGCCTGGGTGCCATTGAACCAGTAGATCAGGCTGCTGTCCTGGCTGTAGTGCACCGAGAGTCCTGCTGTCCAGTTGGCATTGGGGCCAGGCATGGGCAACAGATCCACCTCCCCAGTGGCAGCACCTGTGGGAGCCCCAGGAGGCACAAGTGTCAGAGCCAAGAAGCAGCAGATGGTGAAAAGGGCAGGAGGCAGGGAAAGAGGGACTGATGGGAAAAGATTTCCTACAGCACGTCTTGCCACCTTTTATGGCCTTTCAAAGACAAGAGAGGGATGAACTCACTTCTAAGAGTATCTCTCCAGTTAACCCATTCTCCAACTCTTCATCTCGCCCTACCATTGTTCCACCATGCATCCGGTGACTGTCTGGTGCGATGACTATGCATCTTTGCCAAAGACATATGTACCTGCCTTTTGGGCCGCAAATGCTAATCGTGTCACAACCTCTATGGATAAACACCTGTGGATGGCCAGTGGTGATGTAAAGCAGAGTCTTGGAAAAGTTTGGACAGAGGTTGGATGGGAAGGGATAGGCCTGAGGCAGTGTTGGGGGCACACCTACCACAGAGTTTCCGCAGCGCCCGCTCTGAGTAGTTGTCACGGTCACAGCCCTTGGCCACATGGCTGGTCTGCAGCTCTATGGTGGCCTGAATGTTCCAGAGTGGTTCATCACAGGTCTCCAGGCGGATACCAGGGAACAAAGCCAAGCTCCCAGCACCTGGTGCATATTCGATCCTTTTGTTCCAGCCTGCATGGGTGAGACAGAGAGGGTGATGGGGAGAGAGAAGGGTAAAGCAGCCTCCCCTCTCCATGCTCCTCTTGCCATGTCCATGGACAGTTTGGGGCTCCTGGCAGGATGGCCCGGCTAGAGTAGATAGCTGCAAGCCTGCCCCAATATCATCCAAGCCCTAGCCTGGCCCCCATGATTGTCAGAAAGGACAGAAAGAGAGACCAAGAAAAAAGATGATTCACAAGATGGGGCACAGCGCTGAGCTCTCACCTTGCCAGCTGGGTTTACAGGTGGGCTTCACCTGAATCTCCACCTCAGCATCATCTGCTGCCCGCTTCTTCCCACAGTCATAAGCTGTCACTGTAAACTTATAGAGCCTCTCACCACTGTACTGCAGCTTCTCTGTGTTCTCAATGTTCCCTGGGGTGGGGTCAGGAGGACAGAGCATTAGAGCATTGGAGAAAGCCCAGGGCAGGGAGGGGAGGATGTCTGAGATCATCGGGCAGCAGGCAGGTTAGGCAGCAGGACGCTGGGAAAAAAGGCATCTGGGAGGAGAAGGCTCCATTTGGGAAGAAGGGTGAGGTGAGGGTCTGAGGGGCAAAAGTGGAGAATGCAACCCTGGGTTGTCCTGAGGGAGGTGGGTGCTCAAGGGGAACTGGGTGGCCAGGGAAGCCAGGGGTGGACTCACCGTCATTGTCAATGAGGAAAGGGGTGTTGGGTGTGAGAATCTCATAGTAGCAGATCTGGCTGTACTGGGGGGAGCAGTCACCGTCAATGGCTTCCACCCGCAGGATGCGATCGTACAGCTTCCCCTCTGTCACAGCCGCACGATACAGCCGTTCCACAAACACTGGGGCAAACTCGTTCACATCGTTGACCCGCACATGCACAGTGGCCCTGCATATGCCAGAGAGAAGGAGGGATGAAGACACGTCAGCCAGCCTCGACATTATACATTGAGATACAGCCTTGATACAGCACACCGAGGTACAGCCTCGATACGGTACATCAAGATACAGCCTTGATACGGCACATGGAGGGACAGGTTCGATACCGTACACCAAGATACAGCCTCAATACTGTACACCAACAAACAGCCTCAATATGGGCACAACGAGATACAGCCTTATACTGTACACCAAGGTACAGCCTCGACACGGTACACCCATATGCCAGAAAGGAGCAAGCAGGAATCCCGACGGAGAGCCAGAACAGGAGGGAGCCTGCCCATCTATCCCTGAGACTGAGGCAGTCAGCACGCTCCTCCCCACCCCACAGGGCACCAAGCTGCATCAAAGTCATGCCAGGGAGAGGACAACACCAGAGGGAGGGCCCAAAGAAAGGAGGACTGATGTAGGGGATGAGGAACAAGGCCCAGGGGTGCTCAGGAGCTGATTTTGATGACTTCTGTGCAAAATGCTATGGGTCAGGGTGCCAAGAGGAGGGGTAAGGCATAAAATCCAGCAGGGCCTTCCTTCACAACAGTCAGATCCGGGGGGATAAGCAAGGAAGATGCAGAGTAAAAGCCAAATTAAAACCAGCCATAAGAAGGGAAATGGCATGTGTACAAAGGTCACAAGTCATCTGACATGTCTGCACAGTACGTGTGGGCAGTGCTGCCTCCCGCACATGCGGCCCCTCCCTAGTCATGCACCGGGGCAAGCAGAGCTGGGTCGAGGCCCTTCATGCTGAGCCCTGCCCCAGGCCAAGACCCAGGCTCCCAGGCCCCAGAGGCAAGGGTCCTATCTTCAAATGGGAAACTGAGTCACAAAGAGCATTTTATCTCTAGTGCCTCTTAGTGGCTCAGGAATCCTGACTGAAGATCTTTCTCTTATTCTCAAATAAGAAGTTAGCTGGCAACAAGCGTAGGTGTCCCAGACCCGAGCCTCTTTCTTGCTACAACCATCGCCTGCCCACCCTCACCTAGAGCTATATGTGTATGATAGGGATCGTGTGTGTGGTATACACTGCAAATAGACTGGAGGGGGCAGTTGAAAGGGAACTGGATGCATGCTGAGTGTGTTCATCCTCTTCCTTCTTGCTCTCCTCCTCATCATTATGCCCATGTACTGTGCCCTTCAACGTGTATCAGGCACTGTGGTGCATGCTTTCAACACAAACCATCTCCTTGAATCTTCACAGCAGCCTTATGAAGTAGGTGTCATCACAATCTCCATTCTACAGATAAGGAAAAGCAAGTCCAGAAAGGCTAGGCTGCCCAAGGTCATGAGAGGCAAAGCCAAGATTAGATCCACTGAACTCTACTATACGTTTCTGTCACCTTGCCTGAAAGTCCCTAAATCCTAGGAACAGCAGGGGATGGGGCTCCCTAAGTCCTAGGAACAGCAGCGGGTGGGGGTGGATATTCGATGACCGCACGGACAGAGGATGGTGGGCTTGGGAGCAGGGAGGAGGACCCTGCAACACATGGGGCAGGAGACAAGGACTTCCTCACTTGTGGGACTTCTTGGTGTTGGCCCCGTCGGGGCCCTCGCCACAGTCATAGGCCTGGATGGTGAAGGTGTGTTCCTTCTGGGCCTCGCAGTCCACAGGCTCCTTGGCCCGGATCAGCCCCTCTCCTGTCGCCTTGTCAAGGATCACAGCCTCAAAGGGCACCCCAGACCCATGGAGCCGGAAGCCGCAGATCTCACCTGGCAAAGGGGAGAAGGGGAGGAGTGAGGCTGCTGTGTCTCCTTCCCCACCCTCAGTCTCCCCACCTGGGGTCCAGCTCCACCTCTCCTCCCAAAGCCCTGTCCCTTCTCCTGTAGGCACAAAAGCATTAATGATCAAACACGCAACTCTAAGCCCAGCTTCCCTGAGCAGCAACCTCCCAGAGCCTCCAGACCTGAGATCTGACAAAATCATGATGTGTTTAACCCTTGCCTGGCCATGTCCTTTTCTGGCATCCTTGACTCAATCTCCATTCTTCAGTGGAGACCATTCCCCTCCTTGAGCCCACTTTTATCTTCCCTTACTTTCTCATCACTCCCAGGACCTTCCCTCCCTCCCTTGCTCTTGGCCCTCCCACCCACTTTTCTCTGTCCTACCCTGCCTTGCCATCCCCCAATCCCAATTACCTGCATAGCGCAGCGGGGCATCCTTGTCCAAGGCAAAGAGTGGTGGATTCAGTAGGACCGTGTTGTCATTCTCCATGACGATGCCCTGGTACTCTGCCTCAATCCATGGCTTGTGCTTGTTGGCTGGCCCCACCCCAGGGAGAGGAGAGGAAGCACCTGTGAGCAGGGCCTCTACTCCCACAACAACCCTTGTTGACCCAGACAACTCACACCCCAGCACCATCACCTTTTCCACCCCCTATAGGAGCACCTTACAGGAGGCGGGTGGTTGAGGACAAGAAATCAGCTACTAAAGGAGTCAGAGGGTCTGCGGGAGGTCATAGCCTTCTCCTATAGCAGGGTAGACAGTTCCCATGGAAACAACCTGCCCTGGGGGTGAAGAGGAGGGGATCACTATCTCCATGGGAACCATGGTCAGGAAGTGGAGAATGTTCTTTAGCGATTTCACGTGCTAGAGAATGGAGACAGGGAACTTCAGGGAGCAGTGGTGGGCTGTGAGAAGGCCCTGGGAAAGGGAAGGGATAGATTAAGGGCAGAATTGAAACTAGAAAAAGATCTAGAAGTTTCCTGAGATCCTGATTGCTTATCCTCCTCCCAACTCATTTCAGTCCTGATCCCTTCACTCTGCACTTCTCCCAGCCAAGCCCCAACTTGAGGCCACTCTCCCAGAACACAGGATGGGGAGAAAGGAGAGAAGTGAAGATATATAGGACAGAGGGAGGGGGCAGAGAGGGGCAGGAATGGAGCAGAGGAATCAATGCTGAGCAACTGGACCCAGCAGAGCCGTCATCCTAAGGGATTATCGGGCTGGCCTAGAAACATGACAAATCCCGTCCCTGCTTCCCACCCCCACACCCAAGAGAACACATTCGAAACCGACACATTTCTATGTCCTCCACAAGACCATCAAACCACATTCCCTGAAACCCACTTTTTATACAGAACTCAATCCCAGTTCTTATCTACCCCATCCCTCTTCCCTTCAACCACCAGCCAATTCAGAATGGATGCGGGACTCATCAGACTCCAAATCTCCCCATCTTCTACCAGATTCAGCCTGGTGAGGGGCTGTGGGGAAGCATATTTCCTCCCCTTCCACATCACCCCCCACCCCAGCCTCCACGCTTGCTCTAATCCCATCATCATGCCAACACCCAGGCTCCCAAAGCACAATCATGAGGCAGAGGGAAACTGAGTCACCAAAAGGAACCTCATCCCCAGTATCTCACGGTGAGCAAGAAACCCTGATTTCCATTCTTTCCTCCAACCACACACCAGCAAGCCTTTGGCATGGGAAGGCTTTCTTACTGATGACCACCATAACCCCTTCCTGAATGCTGAGGAGAAAGCCACAAGATGGTGCACAGGAGGCGGTACAGGAAGTGGCAGGAGGCTAGGAGGCGAGGCTGAGGTCAGAGATGCAGGCAAGGAAGAGAGAGCGGTGGAAGGGCAGGGCTGGGCGCCCTCTGCACAGCTCCCCCTCCCACCCTGCTTGTCTTCCCAGGTCTCTGAGCCTCTGTCTCCTCTCCTCCTGGCCCCCTGCGGTCTCTGCGTTTGCTCCCTTTCACTCCTAGGCTCCCGGGCTCCTCCTTGACTCACTCTTTTCCTGATTTTCCTCATTCCTCCCTCTTTTTTCTGCCTCCACCTTTACCCTTTTCCATCCCCTCCTTACCCCCTCCCACGCCTCATCTCCGGTCTTCTCCTTCTCAGCTTTCCCTCTCATACTCATTTAGCGCCCCCCACACACCCACTTCTGCCCTTTCCTGCCAGTCTCCATCCGTTTCCACCTACCTGAGCCCTCTGCCCGCAAGCCCTCCCTCCCGTCCTCCCTCTCCGTCTGTCCGACAGCCCCGCCCAGCTGAATGTATCCGCTGTCTGCCAGAGAGGGCAGCTCTGGTAACCCACAGCCCAGCTGATGCAGGCAAAAGGGTCTGAATGCAGAGGCACACGCAAAAAACATACGTGCTCCGAATTGCTGAACTGCAGCAAATACTTTCTCCCCAGGATGGGATGGAGGCGAAGCAGATGGATCTGCCACACACCCTTAGCATGCGCCAGTGAAAGGGAGAGCCGCGGGGAGAGGCCTATCACCGGCTCGGGGGCAGTCCTTCCCAGACCCGAGGTAGCCACCAGCGTGTAGAAATTAGGGGAAGGGGAGAATAGAGACCCCAGGACGGGAATGGAGACCAAATGGGAGCAAGATGACCAGCAAGAGAAACGCATGGGTAGAGATGGACCAGAAAGGAAGATGTAGCTGGGGGAAGAGAAAGAGAGGAGACGGAGCAGGTCTGAGAACGGATGGGAAGGAGGGTGATCAGAAGAGGGCCAGACACCTGTCAGGTGCCAGGGAGCCTCGACACCTCCTTCCCACCCCCACCCCGCACGGCGCTGCCCGACGCCCCTCTTTCGGTACCCCCACCCCCACCTCACTCACCTTTGTTACAGGAGCAGGACGCGAGCAGAGAGGCCAGCAGAAGGGGCAGCAGCAGGAGGGTCATGGTGCGGCGTGGGGCAGGGCAGGGCCAGGCGTTTGCCTCCCCTGGGAGCCTCCAGCCTGCGGATTCCACCTTGCGGGAGGGATACAGGGGGTCTCCAAGGAGCGGGGTACAGCAGGGCAGGGACGGAAAGGAGCCTGCCGCCCACACTAGTCCATAAAGCGGGCCTGGGCAGATCCCAATCTGGGTAGCTGAGGCGGTGGACTTGCAGCGGCTTCCCGTTTCCCCCAGCCCAGCGTCCTCACTCTCTCACTCCCACCCCAACCCCGCTACTGCAGGATGACGTCAGCACAGCCGGGCAACGATTGATGGGGCCGCCGGCCAATCAGGTGACTGGGAGGGGGGGGGACCAGGTGCTGCAGCGGGGGAGGGAGCCAATGAGACTGGGGCGTCGGGGCTGGAGAGTTTCAAGGCTCCTTCCCCTGGCTGCAATTTTGGGGGAGCCGAGGAACTGCGGGGGCTGGGGAGGAAGCTGGAGAGCCACGGAGGGGGTGGGAAAGAAGAGGGACGTGGGGAGAAAGAAGCCAGAAGCCAGGGGGTGGGGAAGAGAGACGTCAGCGGGACCTGAGGGCGGCCAGGAGGGGTGGCACCGCGTCACCCCGCCCCCCAACTCTGCCATAACCTGTTTCCACAGCCCCTTCCATCCACAGATCCGTGCTGCGTGCCCTCTGGGAAGGGTGAAGTAAAACCCTCAGTCTGAGCCTGAGAAATCCTGGCATTTGTAGCCCAGGGCTGCGAGGAAGCCACAGGGCGGTCCGCAGGGCGGTATCGAGGCTCTGGGACCCAAGGAGGGGCAGGACGTCGTGCACCCCTCGCGCACGCACCTGTCGGGACCGGCCGCCTCCTCCTGCCTACCTGTCCTGCCTCCTTCGCCCCGAATTTCACCTTAAACCATGATGAACCAAGCCCAGTGGATTCTGAAGCCCGGGACGATGGCAGGTTCGAGAGAGAATTGGGCAGCTGGGGGCGGGGCACAATATTATTTAGGCGCCTCCACCCCACCTTCACAGAAATACATCTGGAAAGCATGGGCTGTCCTAGGGCTGGGGACTGGGGGTTACGGTCTCATCGATGACTCAGAGGGAGAGAAAACCCCCTGGGTCCCAAGCCAAAAAGAATAAAATTCTCCAGAATAGCCAACAAACTCCTCTCAGGCTGTCTGTTCCGGACTTTGAACTCAGCACCCCTCGGGCTCCACCTCCCTCCTAATGGCTCTTTAGGACCAAGAGTCTGGAATGCCACTTTGGGGTCCCAGTTGAGCACACTACCTGAGGGAGCTCTGAGAGCCAGGCCTACAGGGTGCTCTTCATGGTGGCAGCTGGCCATCCTCACCCCCTCCCCTCACATCTTCCAACATCACTCAGTCCCAGGATCTCAGGATATTGTTGGAACTCATCTCCACCTCACACAGCCAGACCAGCCTCAGGTGTCTCCCAGGAAAGACTGCCCCTCAGGCCCTGGGACGGTTCCCAAGCCTGCCAGAAATGAGGTGGAGGCCAACACTGACCTTTGGATGGCTGAGTTTTGGATGACTGACAGCCCCAGATCCTGCTCCAGGTTCCTTCCTCAGGAAGGATCCTGCTCCAGGTTCCTTCCTCAGGAAAAGCCAAGGTCAGGCGCAACTTTGCCAAATCCCTGCCCCTCCTTCAGGCTGGAGACACCACCCCCAAACTCACCATGCGGGGAGGGAAGAAGTCTGGTAGGGACTCTTATTGCAACAGGGCCCCAGCCTTATAAAAAGCCCTGGTAACCCGGCCATTACACATCCTGTCTCTGTGTGTGGAGCTGGCTGGAATCTCTCAGCCTCACCTGCCAGACAACACCCCCTCCTTCCTCACCCTGTCTCCTGCATTCTCCTGAAACCTTCATCCACACAATGCCTCCCAACCTCACTGGCTACTACCGCTTTGTCTCGCAGAAGAACATGGAGGACTACCTGCAAGCCCTAAGTAATGGCCTCGCCCTCCCAGACCCCTGTCACTCCCTTTCTCCCCTCTTCCTTCCTGCTTCTTGGTCCCATGGAGAAGAGGGAATGCCCGGGGTTGGACACTGTGGAAAGGCTCAGGCGGCTGGCACCAGACCTGGGATCCATTTCTAACCAGGCATTGGTAGGAGGGGGTGAATCCACAGTCCCAGACCCAAAGAAGGGAAACTCACAGCCCTGAGGGGCTGCTGCAGGCAGAGGAGCTCCTGGCTGGCTAGCAGCACCCCTACTAACAGGCAGCCCCCACAGACATCAGCTTGGCTGTGCGGAAGATCGCGCTGCTGCTGAAGCCGGACAAGGAGATCGAACACCAGGGCAACCACATGACGGTGAGGACGCTCAGCACCTTCCGAAACTACACTGTGCAGTTTGATGTGGGAGTGGAGTTTGAGGAGGACCTCAGGAGCGTGGACGGACGAAAATGCCAGGTACATTTCCCCTGGCTGGGCGGTGGCCGGAAGGAGGCATCACAGGAGACTCCTAACAACATGGGGCAAAACAAAGTGACCTTCCCCAGCCAGAGCAGCGGGGAGGAGGGGAATGGTCACCACAGCAGGGAATGCAGTCCCCAGGATACCAGTCTCCAGAACTAACAGGTCCTGGTGCTCCCTGTCTCTCTCCCACTTCTTCCCTGCCCCCTCTTATCACCAGCCCAAAGGGCAAAGAACAGGCCAACCCAGACCGAAGAGCAAACATTTGCCCACCCTCCAGCCTGTGACACTGTTGGTCACCCAGAGTCCCTTTTACTTTAGCATCAATAACTTCACTCTCCTGCATTTCTTTCTACTTCTTACATATTCCTTCTTAGCCTCCTTTGCAGATCCTAGTCCTCCTATTAATCCTTTAAACTGGAGTTTTCTCCGCAGAGTTTTGTTCTTAATGTCTTCTCCCTTTTGTCTGCCCACTATCCATAGGCTAAATCATCTACACCCATGCCTTCTGCTTCCATCTATAGGCTGCCCTTGGCATGAATTCTCCAGCCAGAGCCATCTCCTGAGCTCCAGGGCAATGTTTTCAACTGCCTACAAAATACAGTTGGCCCTCCATATTCATGGGTTCTGCATCCACAGCTTCAGCAAACTGCAAATGGAAAAATATTTGGGAAAAATAAAAATAAAAAATAACAATACAAAATGATACAAATAAAAAACAATACAGTATAGCAACTATTTACAGAGCATGTACATTGCATTAGGTATTATAAGTAATCTAGAGATGATTTAAAGCATATGGGAAAAGGCTGGGCGTGGTGGCTCACACCCATAATCCCAAGACTTTGGGAGGCTGAGGCAGGCAGATCACTTGAGGCCAGGAGTTCAAGACCAGCCTGGCCAACATGGTGAAACCTCATCTCTACTAAAAATACATAAATTAGGCCAGGTGCAGTGGCTCACACCTGTAATCCCAGTACTTTGGGAGGCCAAGGCGGGCGGATCACCTGAGGTCAAGAGTTCGAGACCAGCCTGACCAACATGGAGAAACCCCATCTCTACTAAAAATACAAAAAATTAGGCAGGCATGGTGGCGCATGCCTGTAATCCCAGCTACTCAGGAGGCTGAGGCAGAAGAATCACTTGAACCTGGGAGGCAGAGGTTGCAGTGAGCCAAGATCGCACCACTGCACTCCAGCCTGGGCAACAAGAGCGAAATTCTATCTCAAAAAAAAAAAAAAAAAAAAATACAAAAGTACAAAAATTAGCCGGGCATGGTGGCGCATGCCTGTAATCCCAGCTACTTGGGAGGCTGAGGCAGGAGAATTACTTGAACCCGGGAGCCAGAGGTTGCAGTGAGCCAAGATCATGCCATTGCATTCTAGTCTGGGTGACAGAGCAAGACTCTGTATCAAAATGATAATAATAAAGTACACAGGGGGATGTATGTAGTTTCTCTACAGATACTAAGCCATTTTATTCAGCAGATTTAGTGAGGTGGGGGTCCTGGAACCAATTTCCATTTGAATGCCAAGGTCAAATTCAAATTCACTGTCTTCCTATCCAAACCTACCCCACTTTTATATCTACTCTCTCCACTAATGGCAATAACCAGCCAGGCCAGAGACCTGGGAGTCATGGTCAATATCTCTTGTTTCCTTACCTCTAGGCTCCCAGCACACACACACACACACACACACACACACACACACACACACACACACACCACCACCACCACCACCACCACATCTAATCGGCCAAGAAATCTTTGTAGCTTTTCTGCATTACCCAGTATAGCAGCTGCTAACTTCAGATGGCCGTTGAATACTTGAAATATAACTAGTCCAAATCTAGATGCTGTAAGTGGACTTTCAGACAATGCCAAATAAAAAGAAGCATTTCGGAAATGTTTATATTGGCTGCATGCCGAAATAATAATATTTTGAATATTTTTGGTTAACTAAAATATATTATTTAAATTAATTTCCCCTATTTCTCTTTACTTTTCTAATATGGCTCCTGACCCATTTTATTTCTGTTGAGCATCACTCTTCTAAATGGCTCTCCTGTGTTCCCTCCTAACCTTTCTCTATCACCACCCTAATTCAGGCCTTCATTTCCTGGTGCCTGAAATTGCTTTTTTGTGTTTTTGTGTTTTTTTTTTTTTGGTAGAGGTGGGGTCTCACTGTGTTGCCCAGGCTGGTCTCAAACTCTTGACTTCAAGTGATTCTCCCGCCTCAGCCTCCCAAATGCTGAGATTACGGGCCTAAGCCACTGCACCCAGCTGGTTCTCACGCTTAACCCTCCTCTAATCTGCATGCTGTAGCCACAGGGTCTACTTAAAACATAAATGTGATCATGTCACTCTCTGACTTACACCCTTTCAGTGATGATCTATTACATTACATCATCTGTTACACTTAACTCAGCATACAAGGGTCTCTGTGAATCAACTCTTCAATTGCCTCCACCACATATACTCTAGGTTAGAGCCCTTCAGAACTAATTGCCTTTCTCTTTTACCGCTATTTCTAGCTGTTTCTTTCCTTGCTAGAAATTTCCCATTCTCTCCAATCTAATTAACTCCCAACTTCCTTAAAGATTTCACTCTGCCCGCCCCACTGCCATCCCTCACTCTTGCCTGGTGTCACAGTTACCTATTTACTGATCCTCTATCTCTTCAAGACTCTGAGCTCCTTGTTTGGGGCCTATCCTAAAGGAGAACTCAATAAAGGTTGATTGGAATGCTCAGGCCCAGAGGGGCTGACCCTTTATTTCTAAGGATACTTCAGCTGTTCTTGAAACCGAGAAAGAGGAGAAATGAGATTACCTGGTAGGATTCCCAACCAATCTCTCTTTTTTCTCAAAAGTCCCTCTAGGTCAGCCAGAAGTATCCAGAGGAAAAAGTCTCCATTCTTCATAAATGCCCTCCCCAATTTCACCTCTACTTATCCTGCTACCACCCCTGCTCTCCCCTAAAGGTCACTGTAGACAACTTTGGGCCCCCCTCGGTGACCTTTAGGAGTGGAAAGCTGGGTGTGATGGTTCATGCCTATAGTCACAGCACTTTAGGAAGCGGTGGCGGGCGGATCACTTGAGCTCAGGAGTTTAAGTCCAGCCTGGCCAACATGGAGAAACCCTGTCTCTACTAAAAATACAAAAATTAACCCGGTATGTTGGTGCACGCCTGTAATCCCAGCTACTCTGGTAGCTGAGGCATGAGATTCACTTGAACCCAGGAGGCAGAGGTTGCAGTGAGCCGAGATCCTGCCACTGCACTCCAGCCTGGGTGACAGAGCAAGAACTTGTCTCAAAAAAACACAAAAAACAAAGAGTAGGGTGGAAAGGGAGTCCTGCTGAATCAGAGCAGCTCCCTCGCTCAGTGGAGGGGCTGCAGCAGACAGTATCTGCTGTGGAGTAAAAGGGGGAGCCCATTCAGAGTGAGATGGGAAGCATTTTGAGTGTCCTGCCTCCTAATCTTTCTTTACTCCCTCTTTCCCCTATAGACCATAGTAACCTGGGAGGAGGAGCACCTGGTGTGTGTGCAGAAAGGGGAGGTCCCCAACCGGGGCTGGAGACACTGGCTGGAGGGAGAGATGCTGTATCTGGTAAATGGGGTGGGGGCTGGGTGTCTGGGAGAAGGGCCTCCAGCTATAAGGCATCCCCTTGTCCAAACCAGATAGGTCCACCACTCTTCCCCCAGCCCAGCCCCAATCCCTATCCAAGGAATTGACCAGGGAGGGAAAGCAAAAGCACTGGGAGGAGTGGGGAGAGGAAGAAACAGAGTGGCCAAGGTGGGCCCTGGCTACGAGTCGGATGAATGCCCATAAATCATCACTGGCGAGATGGAGGCTTCAGCCACTCACATCCCCTGACCCAGCCACCTTCCTTCCTGAGGGGTGGAAAGTTGAGGATGTGGAATAATGATACAATTGCCCATACATCAAACACTCAAGCTGCTGTATCCGGAAGGAGTAAATGGAGGTCAAGGACCTTGAGAAAGGGGCTCTGGCTGGCAAACGCCCTCTTTCTCTCTCCCCCTCACTTCCCCTCTCTCCCCAGGAACTGACTGCAAGGGATGCAGTGTGCGAGCAGGTCTTCAGGAAGGTCAGATAGCCGGAGAGGAGCCAAGATCCCTCCAGACAGCACCAGCTCACAGACGCTCTTGTTGTGCCCCCTTCAAGCCCAGATTGTGCCAGGTCAGCTGTCCCTTCCTCTGGCCACCTTTCCTCCCTCTGGGTCCCTCCTCACCCCTCCCCGTGTTAATCTGTAACTTGCAGCCCCCAGGCCAAAGTCCTTTCTCACACTCCACTGCCCAATAGTGACCTCACTTCCAGGTCAAGGTCTGGCGTCCCAAATGAAAGAAGCAGGCAAAGGGAAGGAGCCCCTGAGAACAACCAATCTCCGCTCTCTCCTGTCCATTTGACCTCTTCTTTTCCTTCTAAGAAAGAACTAAGCTTTGGGCATTTGGCGATTAGTGAAAATTCTATCCTGATGGACTTCTGGAAAACTGTGACTGGGGTTCAAGAGTTTAAACAGGGGCTACTGGCAGAGTCTTTTTGTCCATTTCTTTGTCCTTATCCTTGAGAAAGTCTCATGTGCTCAACAAAACCAGGCCCAAGACACAGCCCCCCACACACAGGGTTCAACGGACTCCACGGTTCTGACATCTGAAGGCATCTGGCCATTTGATACTTCCATCCTATGTGTTGGGAATGAGGGATGGAATGGGGTAAGACCTTTGTCCAGTGCTTGGGGAGGCGGGGAGCTTCTAAATGGTGACCTGTCCTCCGTGTCTGCTTTGGGAAGGGCAAGCAGCAAGAAAGCCAGAAAAAGCTGAAAAAGGAAGTAGACGGAGGATGTGAGGTCAAGGAATAAAAGACAGTAATACAGGGGTGTGAAGGCATAGGAGGGAGAAGCCCAGCAGTCCTGGCTATAGGGACCCTCTGCTCAAAGGCCAGCAAGGCTGGAGACCAGAGATAAAGAGGAGAGCTGAGGACAGCAAGGGTCCCAGAGTTGCTGCCTTGGAAAACAGCCCAGAAGGGTGGAGCTGGCTCAGGGTCAAGGCCAGCTCCAGCCTCTGGCCTCCTCTCCACCTCCAGGGGCCTTGGCTCTTTCAGAATAAAAGTCCTAGGGGGCCCAACTATCAGAGTGAAGAGGGCTCAATGTGAGGGTGGGAAAAGAGCCTGGGGGAAGGGTTGAGGGAGTTGGAAAGTCCCTGGCCCTCATCAGATGAAGACTCTTGACCCATCTTCCTGCAACGGCTGGCCCCCCCATGCACACAAGACAGTCACTAGGGCTCTGGCCAAGAACTAGGGGCTTGTGATACTGATCCTACCACATGCTCTGGAATGAATTTGGAATAGAAAAAAAAAAGGAACTCAGGGTTGAATGGAAAATCTTATTCCCTGCCCAATCTCTGCAGATGTCCACAGTAGAGTGGAAAGCCCCTTCTTTGCAAAGCCACCCAGCAGAAGCTCTGAGGGCTGCTGGAATCCACCTTGTCCCATTCCAAGGCACAGGAGGATGCTCCGTGTGTACTCGCCCATTGCCCACATCTCCAGATCAACACAGTGTCCTTGCTCTTGAGTTCACAGTGCATGTCCAAGCCTCTTCCCACAGGACGGTCCTCCATGCCCTTCAGTGACCATGCTGGTCAGTGGAGTCTCGGCAGAGGCCTTGACTCAGGAACTTGTAGGCCCCCATGGTGGGTTTTTCTAAATATTTCTATATATTTTTATTTTTCCCCCAAAGGTTGACACTTCTTACCATGGTGGTTTTAAGACCCAAGCTAAAGTGGGCTCAATCCCTCAAAACTCCCCGTGATGTGGGCGTCCAGAACATGGCCACTGCAGGACCCCATCCTCCACTCGACCACACTTCTCCAGGGGCCAGACCACACCCAAAGGCCTGGAGATCCCCTAAGGGAGCACAAGCATCAGGGGAGGACTATGCAGCTTCAGAGGCATTTCCAAGAGGGTGGGAGCTCGACCTGCAGAGGGGAGGGGACCGCTGTGGGAAGCTGGAGCTGCTGTTTCCCCTGCGGACACTAGAAGCCAGGGATTCTCCAAATTCAATCCTCCCTCCTCCACCACCTTCTCTGATATTCCATTCCCACCACACACACACACACATACACACACACACATATAAACACACACCCAATCCATGTCCTGGTCCTCACAAGACCATTACCCCTCATTCAAATCAGGTTCCATCTGTCCTCAGAGGGAAGAGATAATCACCAGAGGGACCAAGATGTGAGTGGAGAAAGGGCAGGGGAGGGGACGAGGGCCACAGACAGGTGGGTCCCACACCAGACCCTCCCAGGGACACACAAAGTTGTGGAGTTGACTTGGTTGGCCAGAGTCTTAAACTCCAGGGATGTGATCAGGAATCCAAAATGTTTATTTCCATATGGATGGAATAACTGTGCTCTCTAAGTCAGCCCAATGCAGGCCCCTGCCCCACTCCCACTCCACCAGGCCCAGATTCCAGCTGGAACTCCAGATGGTCCCTGAGAGTCTGCAAAGACCAAAGGTCAATTCAGAGCCCTGTCCCCAAAATAAACTGAGCAAAAGTGGATGGGGAGGATGGGTACAGGTGTGTGTCCTGTGAAGCAGAGGACCATGTGCTGCCCAAGGACTTGGGCTCCATCCCACTGGGGGGTCCCAAGAGGAGGCAGAGCAACAAGGTCTAGCCGTGTACCCCTCCCCACTGCCCACCTCTCCCCTCGGCCTCCACCTCCCACATGACCCTGACGCCTACGTGCCCAGGCCTATATGTTGAAAAGGAGCTCAGGTAGAAGCAGGAAGTGCCTCAGCTCTAAAGCACAAAGGCCATCCCGGGTCCAATCCTGTAACATGGTTGGACCACTTATTGGCAGCAGAGAACTCCTAGAGGCCACCACAGATCTCAAGATCCCAAGAGACAGCAGAGGCATGGCCATTTTGGTACCTTTCCCCCACCCTAATGTCACTCCCTAAGATGCAGGAACCCCATCTGGTCTAGCCTTAAGTACCCCAAGTAAGAGGCCTGGTATCCCCAGCATGCGGACGATGGAGATGAGGGTGGGAGCTGCCCCTTCCCTCCCCACCCCTCCAGCGGCTCCCTGCTCTTCCACAGGATGCACTTCCTCCCCTAGAGCCTGCTGCTCCCACCTGGCCTGGGACCACTTTTTCTTTTTTCTTTTTCTTTTTTTTTTTTTTTGAGACAGAATCTTGCTCTGCCGCCCAGGCTGGAGTGCAGTGGTGCAATCTCGGCTCACTGCAGCCTCCGCCTCCCAGGTTCAAGTGATTCTTGTGCCTCAGCCTCCTGAGTAGCCGGCACTACAGGCACGTGCCACCAGGCCCACGTAATTTTTTTGTATTTTTAGTAAAGACTGGGTTTCACCATGTTGGCCAGGCTGATCTCGAACTCCTGACCTCAAGCAATCTGCCCGCCTCAGCCTCCCAAAGTGCTGGGATTACAGGTGTTAGCCACCGCATCAGCCGTGAGGCCACTTTCATAACCCCCAACCAGCTCTCTGGGAAGTCTCCCCGGCTCCCTCTCCCTGGTGTAACGCCCTCAGTCATAAGAGTACCCATGCTTTCAGGGTCCCTGGGGACTCACCCTGCACATCCTGGGGCTGTGTCCATGATTATGGGCAGATGAGAATCGGGGAGACCTTGTAGGTACAGCAGGAGGTGAAGGGCAAGAGGTGAGGAGATCTGGTGGGCAAATCCAGGCGCCCTGTGAAGGACTGTGATATAACTGACCTGAGTTTGCATGGAGGACAGAAAGAAAGAAACAACAGTGGTAGCCAAGGCCTCTGAGGCCAGGGTGCAAGGAGTACCCAGAGAACCCTGCCTGCCCAGGGGCCAGAATCGGCACTCTCCAGGCCTGCCCCCTCTCCCCAGACCTCAGCCAACAGGACGGCATTGCTCTGTGGGAACCTGTGCTCCATGCTGAATATGCACCCCTACTAGAGGCCACTTAGGTACCGGGGGTATAAAACGTAGCTGACCTTCCACACTCACCTTTCCAGCAAAAACAAGAAGGATCTCCATCTTTCTCAAGGGCTTCTTGACCCACCATCTAGCTGGGGGTGAGCCTCCTGCCTCCCCCTACCCCACCCTTTCCCAAGCTCCCTTCCCTCTGCCCTCACTTTACTCTGGCCACCAGGGAGAGGAGGCAGCTCTCAGAGCCTCTGTTCTGTTCCCCGTGGGCAGTGCCCAAGCAGAAGGTCACCAGCATAGCCAGGCCATTGGGTTCATGGACAAATCACTTGCCTCAGAGGCTCTAGAGGAACCTAAAATGCCACCCAAAATTGGGAGGCAGTGCTGCATAGTGGCCAGGCATGAAATGCCACCTATTACTAGCTGCAGGAGTATATACAAATCGCCAGCCTTCAGCAGATGAGCCACATTGGCCAGCCCACAAGGCAACACCAAGAGTATTTCCTTCCTGCTGGGAATTTTGTGAAGATTGCATGCACACTCAGCAGAGGACCTGGAGTGGAGTGCGCCCTGACAGATGCTGGCTATCATTACTTGCACTATTCCCTGCCTCTTCACCTGATGATTGAAATTCTCTTAACTAGAAGCAAAGCCTTGTGTTCTTCAGTTAAGGACAAGGCATCAAGTGCCACTACCCTTGAGGTTACACAGTGACATATTTACACCGAAGTGTAAGTGACACATACCAGAGAATGGGGGCTAGTGTAGCCATCATCTTGCTGTCCAGGCAGGTAAACCATCTGGGGGTGACAAGGATGAAGGGGAGTTGCCTCCCTAAGGGATCCATATCCAGAGTCTCTCATTGCACCCCACCCCCCATCCCCAGAGAAGGGTGCCTGGGCTCCCCGGGACAGCATTGCCCTCCAGAGCCCCTGCTGCAATAGCCACTCTAGCCTTCCCACCCATGGAGAGAAGGCTTCAATGCAGGAGAAAAGGGATGACGCAGGGACAGCTGCCCAGCCCAGTGCCACTGCAGTGATGGCTGCACAGTCATCAGCTCCATCCACCCCTACCCCCCAGCCCTTGGGACCCCCCCCCATCCCCCACAGTACGTACTGCTATCTCATTCAAGGTGCCGGGCACCAGCAGCAGAGGCCACATCCCAGACCTGGACTCCCCAGCCACCAGCTGCAGGTACTGCCACTCTCCCTTAACCCTCCCAGCTACTCCCCTCCTCCCTATGACAGCTGAATACAGGAACCAGCGCCCTCACCCTGCCCTGGAGCTTCCTCATGCTTCCCTCTTCTTGAGAGGCCTCCACCCTCCTGGCCCTGGTCTCCTGCAGGATATCTCACCATCTTTCTTCTTCCTCCTCCTCCTCCTCCTCTTCTTCTTCTTCTTCTAAAATGATTTTTAAAAACACTTCATGAATTTGCATATCATCCTTGCACAGGGGCCATGCTAATCTCTTCTGTATCCTTCCAATTTGAGTATATGTGCTGCTGAAGCGAGCATATCCCATCGCCTTTCTACACCAGCAGAGCTCCAGCTTCCCCTCCATTCATGCCTCAGTATGTGCCCACACCCCTGCCCTACAGATGAGTCATAGATGGAGGGTCTACCTCAATGTGAATGGAACAGTTTTTCTTCCACGCAAGTGTGCATATCCCACACGATTCTGTCTTGCATGCACTTCTTCAATGTACGGTGCGTGTGCCTATTGTCGTGTGGCCTCTCCATCCTCTGTTCTATAGAACTGCTGAGAGCCAGCATCTTCCTTTCCCTCTCTGTACACAGAACAACAGCGGTGGCATCTTCCTTGACCCAGGCAGGTGGCACAATGCAGAGCTAAAGGCACCGCTCGAGGAGTCGTGTAACCTCAGGCGAATTCTTTCACTTCTGTGTGCCTGTGCTCCCTCCCAGGCCTGGTCCCGATCCACCTTCTGTCTTGTCTTTCCCACCTGCTCCTCCTCTTGGATTCCTCTCCCTTCCCGGCTGTTTTCGGAAGAGGCTCGCTCATATCCTTGACCCAGCTGTAAGGAAACTATTGTCACCCTTAATGAAACTAAAGCTTATCCTGCTGGGTCCTCATTGGAGCAAGAACCCACAGGTGAAGGGGCAGCCAGGTGGCAAAGCCCCCACCCCAGCCTGTCTCCCCACCACTCCTTCTTTTCTGAGAAGCACAGGTGGGACAAGGTGGGCCTCTTGAATGAGGGTTTATTAAAGTCTTGGAGGAAACAAAAGGGAAACAGAACAGAGAGTTATACTCACCTTGATTATCTGAGGCACAAATGCAGCCTCAGCCATGAACATATTGAAGGAAGGGATAGTCCAGTATGTAACAGACGCACCCTGCTATTGGCAAGCAAAGCACAGATGGAGTGAATTTAAAGAGTCCTTTACTAAAGGACTTTGTTTCAGGACGAAAGTCCACACAGAGCCCACAGGGTGTGGGAGATCTGAGATCTGGAACTGGGATCTCTGGGCTCTGAACTTGTTCTGTTGGGCAATCTGCTGATGGAGACCTTGTCTTCGAGTGTCAGGATGCACACTGTGGTCAGCTCCCCCTAGGTTGCAAAGGGCATTCTATCTGGGACTTGTCTTCCCTGCCCATCTGCTCTCCTTTTCAACAGCTTCTTGGTTCTTTTGAAACCTATGCTGTCTTCCCAAAGCCCTACCTCCTATTGTGTTGGCCTCCTGTAAGCCATGCTTTCATCTGTCCAGTCCTGCTCTTGGTGGGATGAACGAGAGGCCTCTACAGATCTCAAGGTGGAGGAGGAGAGGGTCAGAGCCCCCAAAGGTACTCTGGATTTGGGTAAATGCACCTGAAATACAACCATACCCAGCAAAAATAACATCCTGCTAGCTGATCGTCTGCACTTATTGTACTAAAATAATACATCTACTTCTATGAGAACCAGCGTCCGAGACAGCCACCAACAATACCTGCTTCCCAGTATTCCTGTCCTTGTGATGTCTCCTTCCACATCGGGTTGTCTGTGTGACCAATGGAATAAGGCAGAAATGATGCTACGTCACTTCCAAGGCTGGCTTATAAAAGACACTGTCACCTCTGCCTTGTTCTTTCCACCTTGGGTCACTCTGGGGAAAGCCAGCTGCTATGCCGCGAGGACACTCAAGCGTCCTATGAGGAGGGCCATGTGGCAGGGAACTGAGGCCGCCTGCCCACATCCATGTGAGTGACCGTCTGGAAGCAGACCTCCAGCCCCAGTCCCGCCTCTGGAGGACTGCAGCCTGCACCTGGACCAAAGCCTTGTGAGAGACCCTGATCCTAAACTACCCATCTCAGCCGCTTCTGGATTCCTGACCCACAGAAACTGTGTGAAATAGTACATACTTGCTGTTTTAAACAAAATGTGGGGGTGACTTTTTACAAGCAGACAGATAACTGCAACATAGTCTCAACCTTGAATTTCATTGCAAATGACCCCATCCTGACCATAACCTCAATATTCGCTAAGTGGGCAGAAGAATGGGGTTGGGGGGTGGGGGCAGTAGATGACTTCGGGCAGTAAAAATGTGTCCAGTCACAAAAAGGCATGACTCCATCCTCAGTGCTCACAGCCCTCCCATCCTAGCTCTAAGCTAGACCCTTCCACGAGTCTAGAGAGTGAAGTTCAGAGGCAGGCAGCTGCCCCCTTTCCCTTCCTCTTTGAGGCCCACCCACCTGAGTCCTGTCTGAGGACTGCCTCTCCCCTAGGTAATTGTTAAAAGGAATGTCCAGCATCTTCAGATGGTACCCTGCTCGTTTCAAAGTTGTGTGACCTTACTCTGTGGCTTCAAAAGGACAAAGACATCAGAATACAACTCAATGCACCTCACGCCATTAGACAGCATGAGTGACAAGCCGCAGGGAGGATATATCAGACAGCACCAGATCTTAGCTGGTAGGAAGCTGATTGACAAGTTCTGTGGAGGACAGAGCAGCAGAGCCCTGAAGTCCACAGCAATAAGGGGAAGATGGTGTTCTAGACACACCAGCAGGGAAGAGCCAAACCTGGATGGTCAGTTTGACCTCCCAGGGTAAGGAGCCTCTGGGTCTTCTCTACCTCTCCCAGGACCACCACAGTGAAACTAGAGCCAGAGGGTTCTTTGCTGAAAAGAGGGTGAGTGAGGTGGAGAGATGCAGATGAGAGGAGGCTTTATGCAGAAGCCATCAGGTTGTGCCATATCTAAAGCCTGGAAAAAGGAGGATACCAGCTGATAGGATTTGGCTCTATGTCCCCAACCAAATCTCATGTGGAATTGTAATCCCCACGTGTTGGAGGAGGGGCCTGGTGAGAGGTGATTGGATCATGGGGGCAGTTTCTAATGGTTTAGTGCCATCCCCCTAGTGCTGTCTCCCGATGGAATTCTCATGAGATCTGGTTGTTTAAAAGTGTGTAGACTTCTCCCTTCTTCTCTTTCTCCTGCTGCCATGTGAAGAAGGTCCTTGCTTCCCCTTCGCCTTCTGCCATGATTATAAGCTTCCTGAGGCCTCCCAGTCATGCTTCCTGTTAAGCCCGCAGAACTGTGAGTCAATTAAACTTCTTCTCTTCATGAATTCCCCAGTCTCAGGTAGTTCTGTACAGCAGTGTGAGAATGGACGAATACAGCAGCGAAGGTGGTACAAGGGCTTTCTGTTCCACTGTGCTCTTCCTGAGTCAGAACCTTTGGGCAGTCCCCAGCCTGCCACCTAGGGACTTCTGCTGCCACCCAGGAGAAGCAGAATGCCCACCAGGCCCAGATCTGCTACCACTTCCAGAAGCCCTGTTACTAAATGATAGGCCCCAGGTGAGGACCAGCCAGGCCCTCTCCAGGGCAGGATCCTTCTCCTTCTACTCACAGAGCTGCTCTCTACAACCAGGTACCAACAGTGAGGAGGCGGTCACGTGGCAATGATCAGGCTTCTCACTAGAGAATAGTAAATGGGGCAGGGCCGTGTTCAGACCCTCAAACTCTACCCAACCCCATCTCCCAGATGCACCTGTCTACCACCTGCTTCTCTTCCTCCCTGCACACCTTGAAAACTCCAAAACCTGGTGCATACTCCCCACTCTGCCCCATCCCAAGAACTCACCCACAGACGCAGGTGGACACCTAGATGTGCTGAGTCCTAGGGCTGCCACAGCCTGCAGGACAAAATTCCTCCCTCAAGGAACCCACAGCCCTGTGGGAAAGACAGACACACGGGCAGGAGGTTATCATGCATCAAGAGTCCATGAGCACAGGGAAAGTCATTTTCTCTGAGTCAAAGAGGGCTTCCCAGAGGAGAGGACACGGGGAGAGAGGTGAGTAAAAATGGCCGGCATCCAGGGCATGAGTACTACATGCCGAACGCTGACTCTTCTCAGGAACCCAAGCACAGGTTATTGTCCCCATTCTACAGATAAGAAAACTAAGGAACAGAGAATTTTAAGTAATTTGCCAAAGGTTATACATGAAATAAAAGACAGAGATGGGATTTGAACCCAAACAGATTGGAGCCTGACCACCCAACCCTCAGTTTCTCCACCTCGCCCCTATTGACGTTCAGGACCAGGTAACATTTTGTTGTGGGACCTGCTGCCTTGTGCACTAGGATGCTTACCAGCATCACTGGCCTGTATCCACTAAATGCCAGTAATGGAAAAAAGAAATCTCTAGATATCATCAAATATCCCCTGGGGAGCAAAACTGCTCCTTGTTGAGTACCACTGATCTAACCATTTTGCTATTCTATTCTGCTTCCTAAGCAAGTAATGATATTTATTGTTTGCCAAATGACAGACACTGCCCTAAGCAATTCTGGTTATTAACTCATTTAACCCTCACACCAACCCTCTGGTGTGGGTACCGTTGTCCTCATCCTTGTTCTTCAGATGAGGATGTTAAGAGGCACAGAGAAATTATGTAAGCTGGCCTTGGTCACCAAACTTTTAAATGGTAGAGCCTGGGTTTAAACCTGGTGAGTGTGGCACACAAGCCCACTCCTTTAAGCAGCATGTTATGCTGATGACTGAAGAACACGGCATTGGTCGGGGAGTCACACATGCAAACGCAAGGCATGTTTGTGAAGCCATAGCATCATGACCGCGCCTGGAACACACATGCGAGGCGGCAGCGGTGGAGAGCGAAGCCAGAAAGTCATGCAGAGCCTGATTATGAAGGAAGAACCTGACGAGACAAACAAGTGGCTGGGGCTTCATCTCATGGATCAGGAGGCACAGTCATTGAAAAGTTTTAACCTGGGAAGGGGCACGATTGATTGAGATTTTAGATACTGGCAGAGTAGGGAGGATGGGCTTAAGGGCTAAACCTAGTGGCTGACACTCCATTGGGGTTGAGCTAGCGACTGCCTAGGTGTCCATAAGGCATGGAAGTCAAGGCCCTGACATGAAAGCCTGAGATAACTTGGGGGTGGAGGAGTGTGACCCATTAGGGTCACCCCTCTGCCCTGGGCTGTCCACATCTCCACTGGCCATGCCAGACAGAAGCAAAGGGTCCCAGTCTGGCTGACTCAGCCGCCTCATCACCCCTGCTGCTCTTCACCTCGCTCCTGTATCTCCCTCCTCACCTGGCACTGGGCACAAAAGCCCCCACGTGTCCCAGCCCAGGGCAAGGTATCTAGAGATAAGACAGGGAAGCTGTGGACAGAAATGGCTCGTGCTGCCCCAGACTCCTCTGCCTGGGCTCTCCTGTGGCTGTTTGGATTCCAGGAGAGGGCAAGCTCCTCTCTAAATGCTGGGGGCTCATGAAGGCTGCAGAGAAACTCCCTGGCCAGGAAGCCCCAAGGCACTTTCTGTTGTCCTGCCCTTCCCCTTTCAGGACAGAAGGGGGCAGCACCAACACGATTTTCAAAAATAAAACCAAAAATAAAGTCACTGGAGCACCCCAACCTTGTTTGCCCAGCTAAGATTGGAAAGACCCATGCCTGGCCTAAGTTTATATGCAAGGACAAAAACTTCTTCATTAATCATGTGGATTAAAGATGCCGATTAAAGGATCCATCCCCTCATTCTCTAATCCTGTCTGGCTCAGAAAGGACCATCTGGTCACAATTATAATTTCAGATACATTTATTTTGTAACTATCAAAGTTATTAAATAATATTAAAGAAGTTTTACTAAACAGAGAAACATGGTTTAAATCATCCACAACCCCATACTCTAATAGGAAGCAGTTATTTTAGATTTTTCTCACGGGTGCTTTCTATATTTGTAAACATAGTATCCTTACAATTTGGTAGCTTGCTACCTTTACTTAGCATGCCAGGAATCCCAGCTCCCTTACCTGCACTTGGGGGCCTTAACATAGAGCAGAGGTGGCCTATGCTCTTTAGGGACACTTGGGTAAGGGAAAGGGAACTGAAGTAAATGATTGAAGTGTTAGCAATAAGGTGACCAACTGTCCTGGCGTGTCGGGGAACTTAACTGGTTTTAGTGTTGAAAACCTCATGTCCTAGGAAAACCTCATTTCTAGACAGACCAGGATGATTTCTAATAGGTTACCCTATTAGAAAAAAGTCCCCCCAAATTCAGACATCCATTTTCATTTCTACATCGGCCTTTCAGCTATACTTCTTTGCTTTTTTCTACTAGTAGTCACCCTAGGGCAACTGTTCTCAAACTTTATACCCTTAAAAAATTATTGAGAACTCCAGAGAGCTTTGGCTTATGTAGGGTATATCTATTAATAGTCACTGTACTAGAAATCAAAATTGAGAACATTTTAAATCACAAAGATACACAAGCACGCATCCCGCTCACTGCCACGGATGAATCATTGCACATCACGTAGCCTCTGTAAATCCACCATATACCATGACAGAATGAGAGGGAAAAAAGCAAAGAACATCTGAGTATTTTTATGAAAGTCATTTTGTTACCTCACAGACCCCGTGAAAGGATCTTAGGGCCTGTGGGTCTTCCCACACCACAGGGTGGAGACCCGCTGCTCTGGGAATTAGTCTGCATCCTAAACTCCAGTTTTCTCAGTTCCTATTGTACCACTTCATGTGAAATGAAGGAAACTTGTAACCATGAGTCCACCCCCTTGTCCTCTATACCAGCAGTCCCCACCCTTTTTGGCACAAGGGACTGGCTTCATGGAAAACGGTTTTTCCACAAACCAGGGATGGGGCCAGAGGGAGATGGTTTCAGGATAGTTCAAACACATTACATTCATTGCATGTTTTCTTTCTATTATTATTGTTATTGTAATATATAATGAAATATTAATAATTATACAACTCACCGTAATGTAGAATCAGTGGGAGCCCTGAGCTTGTTTTCTTGCAACTAGACGGTCCCATCTAGGGGTGATAGGAGACAGTGACAGGTCACCAGGCATTAGATTCTCATAAGGAGCACACAGCCTAGATCCCTCCATGCATAGTTCACAATAGGGTTCGTGCCCCTATGAGAATCTAATGCTGCTGCTGCTGCTGCTGCTGACAGAAGACGAAGTTCAGATGGTAATGTGAGTGATGGGAAGCAGCTACAAATACAGATGAAGCTTTGCTTGCTCACCACCACTCACCTCCAATACTGGTCCACGGCTCAGGGGTTGGGGACCCCTGCTTTATACTACAGTCTTCATATATGTTACAGCTACATATGTTATAAACCTCACAATACAATGTTATAATTTTTGCCTGGAACAGTTCTACATATTTTAAAGACATTAAAAAGAAAATCGTATTTTATATTTACCTTCAAATTTACCGTTCTTCTTATTCCTGTCTGCAGCTCTGCTCTTCCAATTTGAGACAGCGTCTCACTCTGTCACCCAAGCTGGAGTGCAGTGGCACCGTCATGGCTCACTGCAGCCTCCATCTTCCGAGCTCAAGCAATCCTCCCACCTTGGCCTCCCAAAATGCTGGGATTATAGGCGTGAGCTATCGTGCCCGTCCTAAAGAACTTTCTTTAGCGCTTCTCATAGTGGAGGTCTGCTGGCGACAAGAATCTCTGTTTTCTTTTATCTGAAAATAGCTTTATTTCATCTTCATTCTGGAAGAATACTTTCACTAGAAAAACAATTCTGAGTTGACTTTTTTTTTCCTTCAGCATTTTAGAGATATTCCACTGTCTTCTGGTCTATATTGGTTTTGATGAGAAAAGAGTGACATTGAAAATATTGTTCTGTCTAGTCTTTAGGATGGGATTAAAAAAAAGAAAAGATTTTCTCTTGTCTTTGGCTTTTAGCAGTTTGACCATGATGTGCCAAGGCATGCCCTTTTTTTCATTGACCACTCTGCCAGTTAGAGACGAGGTCCCAGTGTAGGGGAGGTGGTGCTGAAAACACAGCGGGGCACAGCTCAGCCCTAGCCCACAGGGGCCTGCAGTGACCAGCTATGCACAGAGCCATCAGCTCCTTCTCCAGTCTCACATCACCAGCCATTCCTCCCCTTGCCCTTGACCCTAACTCATGCTGCAGCCGCACACGCCACCTAGGTGAGACCAAGGTGGGCCCTCATCTTCAGAGTGCTGGATTACCCCAAACAGGGACCACATCCAGACCCTGGACTGCCCAGTCACCTGGGGCTGCCGGTGCATCACTGCCTCCCCACCCTCTTGGCTCCCTGTCCTCTTTCTCACCCAGCCTCACTCCAGCACTTTAACCCCTATCCATTTAGGGTGACCACCAGTCCTGGCTTGCCCAGAACTTCCCTCATTTTAAAACGGAAAGCCTCATGTCCTGGGAAACCCGTCGGTCCCACGCAAATCAGAACAGTCGGTCACCCTACCTGTCCTGGAGTTTCCTTCCAAGGCCTTACTCCTCCCTCCTCCAGCTCATCTCCAGGAAAGTCTTCTCAGATGGGCTAGCCTGAGTTTTCCAGTTCCTGCCCCTCTTAGCAAACAAGGAAATAATGCTCTGAAGGGAAACGAGGGGTGGACTCCCCAATCCTGATCTGAGTCTTGGCTGGTTTCTTCTTAACACATGGGTCTTGGGATTGGTACCATTGTTCACTCTTTGGCTGCATCTCTGGCTCCCAAGGTGCTCCAGGTGACCCTAAGAGTTCTATGAGAGAGCAGGTTTCAGTGGTCTCAGGGGAGGAAAGAAGTCCTAGTCAGAGAGGCCCACTCCTCGAAGATGGGTATGGGAGATCATCCCCAGTTGTGTTTGGGGTTGGGGTGTGGCAGACAGGTAGGCTTGATCTCAAGACTGTACCTGAGACATTGCATCTGTCCTGGCCATCACTCTCTTATCATCTCCTTGTAGCCATAGACTGTGGCTCTCCTAAATCTCTCTAGCCTAGAAAAACCAAAGATGCAGAGCACACCCTGTTTGGGTCTGTAACTTGCCTCCATATTACTATATGCAAAATGGGGGAAGCAATAGATTCTTCTCTGAGAGGTGTGTGTGCGCGCGCACATGCATTTGTGTGTGCATACAACGTAAGGCCTTCCACACACCTGCCTTCTCTGAGGATGGGACCACCCATCTCCATAAGAGCCTTCTGGCCTCCTACCAAGCTGTGGGTGAGTGTCCTTCCTCGGGGAGCGGTGAGAGCAGGCAGGGGCTCTAGTATCTGCCTAAAGAAGCTTGAGTGACGGCTTGAGTGATGACTGGGACTAGGGACTGAGGGACACCTGGGCTCGACCCCAGCCCTGACCATGCTGGACAAGCAGCCTCCAGAGGTTGTGAATAGGATTCAAAAGACCACCTAAGCGCATGTCCCCCACCCCTGCTTGGGGAGGAGGGAAAGGAAGAGAAAGCTCAAGTTCAAGGATCACAAACTTCAATTCTACAAGAGGGAGGCTCCCCGGGTATGTCGTGAACGGAAAGGTCGGGGAGGAAGAGACATGGCTGATTGAAGGCAGCAGCCATAACTCACAAGGAGCCATCCTACACACATGGCAAAAATTAATGTTAAATAGTACAAAAGGGTCGAGTCAGTGCCCTGCCACCCTGACCTCTGAGGGCCAGCGAGGTTTTTGGACGTTTCTCCCCTAAGCTGCGGCGGGCCCGCTGTTCCTGAGTCAGACGGCAGGTGGCGCTCAGCCCGGAGAATTGGAGAAGGGGAACTGTGGAGTTGCTTAACATTTCCAGGAACTTCCTCCTCCCCCACCGGCCTTCACCTTTTGTTCCCTATCCTGGGCCAGTTCTCTCGCAGGTCCCAGATGTCCAGTTCCAGATGCCTGGACCCAGAGTGTGGGGGAAATATCTCTGGAGAAGCCCTCACTCCAAAGGCTGTCCAGGCGCAATGTGAGTGTGGCCCCGGCAGAGGAGGAGGGAAGAGGACGGGAGGGGAAGAGAAAGGGTGGGTGGCCGCAAACCCTCCCTCCCCCCACCCTACCCCCCCCACACACACATCCCCCCCCCCCCCACACACACACACACACACACACCTCCCCCACATACACACACCAGCAGCAGCAGCAGCAGCAGCACAGCAGATATTCCATGGGGAGACTGAAATTTGCCTGTGGCCTCTAGCACCTTCCCAGAGGGTGGTCGGGGGATATTTACGGCAGACCCTCACTCGCCCCACCATTGCTCCCTCGGATCCCAGGGTGGGGTGGGATCTGCTGAAGCAGAAAGCACCCCCCTCCTTTGGACGAGACTCTCCTGGGAGATGAGCAAAGGTGATGTCTTCGGAGGATGGAAAACCCACAATCCTAGAGCTCAGGCTGCGCGGGAGGCTGTAGGGATTGGGGTGAGGAAGGGGAGCAAGGGAGGAGACGGGAAGTGCCCGGGCCTCAAGGGTGAGGCCACAGCTTCTAGCCCTGCCTCGCGAGGCCTCTGAGTCCTAGCGCGGCTCCCCCGCTCCTCCCACACCCACAGGCTTCCGGCCATAGCTGCGCGGCCCCACCTTGCCCTCCCCCCAACTCACAGGTGGTGGCTGCTTCTCTGGGGAGTCCTCCAGGCTTGCCCAACCCGGGGCTCCGTCCTCTTGGCCCAAGAGCTACCCCAGCAGCTGACATCCCCCGGGTACCCAGAGCCGTATGGCAAAGGCCAAGAGAGCAGCACGGACATCAAGGCTCCAGAGGGCTTTGCTGTGAGGCTCGTCTTCCAGGACTTCGACCTGGAGCCGTCCCAGGACTGTGCAGGGGACTCTGTCACAGTGAGCTGGGGATGGGGGGGGTCCCGCCAGGACTGTGGCCAGGGAGATTCCCGGGGTTGTGGGAAGTGGCGGTGCCCTGAATCCCCCATCTGGAGGAGGGATGAATTTTCCATGTAGGGGCAGTCGGGCTTGGCTTACCGGGGAGCAGTGGTGGACCCCAGGACACAGCCTCCCACCAGCGCCTCCGGGGCTGCCATCTGGGCCCCACAGAGCAAAGAGGGCAGCAAGCAGGCCCTGCGTTTGGAAGGCTTATGAATGGACACACAAATCTTGCAAATCTATGGAGCCAGGGGCAGGGACGCACATATTGGTTGTTAAAAATATGTCATCATGTATTTGTTGAGTGCCTGCTCTATCAGGTGAGGAAGCTGGACACAAATAATAACAAAAGATTAAGTCACCGTTCACACTTACCTTGGAAGAGCTATTACAAAACTTCTAACGCCAAAGCCTTATTCAGAATAAGGACATTTTAAAAACAGTACTTGATGGAGTGATGCAAGCTTGCAGTCCCAGCAGTATAGTCAGGAGACTGAGGCTGGAGGATCAGAGGGCTGGAGCCCAGGGTTCAAGGCCAGCCTAAGCAACATAGCAAGACCCCATCTCAAAAATAAGTAAATAATAAATAAAAATAAAAAGAGCACATTATCTTTTGATTTAAATTTTATTTATATCAAAATGACATAAATTTTTGAACTTTATTTTTTAATTTTAAAATTTTTAATTATTATGGATACATAATAGTTGTAAGACTTTTTGTTTTTTAATTAAAGTTTTCTAAGGCTGGGCGCAGTAGCTCATGTCTGTAGTCCCAGCACTTTGGGAGGCTGAGGCGAAAGAAGCACTTGAGCCCAGGAATTTGAGACCAGCCTGGGCAACATAGCAAGACCCCATCTCTACAAAAAAATTTAAAAATTAGCCAAGTGTGGTGGCACGCACCTGTGGTCCCAGCTACAAGGGACGCTGAAGTGAGAGGATCACTTGAGCCTGGAAGGTAGAGGCTGCAGTGAGCTCTGATCATGACACCGTACTCCAGCCTGGGTGACAGAGTGAGACCCTGTCTCCAAAAAAAAAAAAAGGTTTTTAAAAAGGTTTATGAATAACAGCAGTCTCCAAGCTGTTCCTCCCCGCCCCTGAGTGCTGCTCCTCAGGAGCAGTCATTTGCCAATTCATGTAGCTGTTTCATCTGGTCTTTAACTTCATATGTATAAATAACATGCTTATTTGTCTTTCATTTTTACGTATTTTCTATTAATGCTCAACTACAGTATAGAAGATAAGGACTAGCTTTATCTGTCTTCAGTCTTCACCACCCACATTTCCCCTCCTCATTCTGCCAGTTTACCTATATTATCATTTTTAGTTAAATCTTTATTCATTATTTACATTATTATGACTGTAAAATATTCACATCTGAGCACATAGCATAAAATAATTATATTTCTTTTCTTCTCCAACTTTTGGGTTTCCTAGGAGTCAATAGTTACATGGAGTTTTTTTGTTTTGTTTTGTTTTGTTTTTTGGTGGGGGGTGTTTGTTTTTGTTTTGCTTTTTAGTTTGCTTAGTTGTCTCTGTAACTAATCTCACCAGACTCTTAACCAGGAGTGTAAATCTTCTTCTGAAATACTCAAGCATGAATTTCAGTCTATCGGTCCTCCTTTTAATTGGTGACATCCCTCCTGAAGATCTCTCGATTTATTTTCACAGCCTGAGTTCTTTGCTCTCTAAGCCGTCACACATTCTGGGAGTTCTCTTCTCCCTCTTTCTGGGGATTTCCTTTACCTGTGCTGAACCTGAATCCCATACCTTTCTCTTTTTTGGTTTACTCTCCCATTTTGGAGGAGCACCTTCACCAGTGGCTTCCTTAGAAAGGGTATTTTAGAGTGAATTTTAGAAGATCTTATATATGTCTAAATGTCTCAGTTCTACCCTCACAGTGGAGGGATAGTTGATCTGGGTATAGCATTCTAGATTGGAAACCTTTTTCTTCCAGAATTTTGATGATATTGTCTTCTAGGTCTAGACTTTGTTAAGAAGTTTGATGCCCTTATCATTCCTAATCCTTTGTTTTCTCTCTCTAGAACTTTTGGAATATTTTCCTTATTACCAGTATTCTGGACTTTCATTATGATGTCTCTTGATACACGTGGTTTTTTACTCATTGTGCAGATTTCTTTTAATCTAGAGCCTCTTTTAATCTAGTCCTTCAATTCTAGGAATGTTCTTGTGCTATTTTTTAAATAATTTCCAGATATCTCATTTCCTTAGTTTCTCTTTCTCCTATAATTCAGCTGTTGTATGTTCTAGATTGATTCTCTAGCTTTGTTATCTGTTTTGTTCTATTTACCATCTCTTTTGTTCTGCCTCCTGGGAAATTTTCTCATCTTTAAATCCCCATCTTTTAGTTAATGGTTTCTTTCCACTGACATATTATTTCATTTCTAAGGATTCGTTCTAATTTTCTAAATGTGCCTTTTTATAGAGTATTGTTCTTGTTTCATTGATGCAGTATCAACTCCTTTCCCTCCTTTGGGATTATTTTTAGATGTTTCTTCTGTTCTCTATAGTGGGTCTATTTCATCCAAGTTCTTTTTTACCGTTTGTCTGTTTTGGTCTCTGCTTTTTGTGTTAGAGACTTTCCTACGATATCTGATAATACTTGGCTGTCCATTCATATTTAAGGCCGGGCGCAGTGGCTCACATCTGTAATCCCAGCACTTTGGGAGGCCGAGGCAGGCAGATCACCTGAGGCCAGGAGTTTGAGACCAGCCTGGCCAACATGGTGAAACCCCGTCTCTACTAAAAATACAAAAATTAGGCAGGCATGGTGGTGTACGCCTGTAATCCCAGCTACTTGGGAGGCTGAGGCATAAGAATCGCTTGAACCTGGGAGGTGGAGGTTGTAGTAAGCCGAGATCAGGCCACTGCACTACAGCCTGTGGGGTGCAGAGTGAGTCTCTGTCTCAAGGAAAAAAAAAAAAGAGTGGAGCACTAAAATACTGATTGGAAGTTCTGTGTGGATAGCTAAAATTTGTCAAATGATAGGTTTGAAAATAGGGTTATCGACAAGGTGACCTAGATGTGCCACTGGGGGCCTCCCAACTGTCAGGATGTAAAAGCATTTTATTTGGGGGCAGCCAGTTTCCCCTGAGAGGACTCCTGCAGATTCCAGCTCAGGGACCCCAGCATTCTGGTCAACAAGCTGAGAAAAGGGCCTGGTGGAGGGAGATGCAGCTCACTGTTTGGCAGGTAGACTTTCACTTAATCCTTCTGTTTTTGGTACAGTGAGTCCTCACTTAAAATCATCCATAGGTTCTTGGAAAGTATGACTTTAAGAGAAATAACATAGAATGAAACCAATTTGGCCATAGAGCTAATTGATATAGACAAGAGTGAAGTTTCTACAGCAATTACTGATCACAGAAACATCACCAAACCTCTAAATAAAGACCCCAAACACTTCTAATATTAAATATTGAAATACATGTGAACTATGCCTACATGTAAGAAAGGTTAATAAAAACGAATAAGATTATTTACCCAATTATTCCAGTTTGGGGTCACGGGTGGCCACAGCCTGTTGCAGCAGTTCAGGATGCAAGGCATGAACCAGTGCTGGACAGGACACCATCCTGTTTCAGGACGCACTCACACACTCATACTCACTCACACTGGGACCGTGGAGACATACCAGGTCGCCTAGCAGGCACAGCTTGGGATGTGGGAGGAAACCAGAGGACCTGGAGAAAACCACTGAAGACATGGGAAGAATGTGCAGACTTCACCCAGAGAGTGGCCCCGGACACGGGGCAATATTTTTTCTCGTCAACGTCATAATGAAACGACGATGTTATTCATGGACCTGCTGCACTGGCCTTCGCCCCCTCTATCAAGTGTGCCGCGGGGCCTCAAGTCCAGGGTTTCTTGTTAAGCTCATGCCTTCTGCCAGGGTGGGCCAGAGGGAGTTGCCTGGGTGCACAGAGATTCTAGGATTCTGCAGTCTCCCTCACAGGCTTCTGGTCTGCCATCCCCGTGCCAGCCCTTCCCTCATCCCTATCTTGATTCCCCCAATTTTTAAAACTTCCCCTGGTTCTGTGATGAGAACCTGCTTGCTTTATGTTGGCTCCCATCATTGCAAACTCAAGTTATCACTTGCATCTCCACTCCATCTTCCAAAGTGTGTTGACACCTGTCATCTGCTGTCATCTTCTCTCCCTTTTTTGTCCTTGGTTATGTGTACCATTTTATCCCTTTGCTGTCATACGACTGGGGTTGAGATGGGAGAGGAAATATATGCATGCATTTATTGCTTCAGACTTAACCAGTCAGGATGATACTTTGTTCAATTCAGCCTATGTCTGTTGAGCACCTACCATGAGTCCCGTTCCTCTTAAATCATGGAGATTTTTAATCCTGGCCTTTTTTCTTGTCATTGAGAAACTTCAAGTTCAGAAAAAGGATTCCTCCCAGAGTAAGTCACACACACACACCCCTCAAAGGCAGAATTCAGCACACTATAACCTAGTTTATTTTTTTACTTGTCAGCGTCCTCAGCCACTGCTCCTCGGGAGCAGAACTGTGCCTTTGTCACATCTGTGTCCCCAGCACCTAGCACAGTATCTTACACATAGTACACAACCAGTAAATGTGTTAAAGGAATAAGTGAGAGAGTGAATAAAATGCAAGCTTATGTGTGTGCAGGACACACAACATAATGAATTTTGAAGGAGCAGGTATTGAGTATCCATCCTCACCACTGCTCTTAGTGCAGACTCTGGAAGATGCCATAGAACATGCTGGAAGAGGCCACACAGACCATTATATAGGAGAGGAAACTGAGATCTTGGGTGCTTCAGAAACTCCCCATTTCACACATGGAATTAGTAGCAAAGTCTAGAATTTAAGGGTCTTAGGACTCAGTCCTGTGTCCACTCTACTTTCCTAGTTAGAATCCTAAGCAATTGTATTTCGCTAACAATTCAGGGAAAAGGGCAAAAAGAAAGCTGGAGGGTTTTACAACCAAGTAGAGCAGTTGAGCACCATTTCCTACATCAAATTGCTTCTTCCCCAAAAAGCAGGCCTCTTAAATGCCAGGAGTTACATTTGCTGATATTCTAAGCAAAAGACCAGTATTGGGATTTGTCTGAACCAGGTATTTGGGGCGATTGAGAAATTTTCTTCATCGCAAATTTTACCCAGTTACTCTGATCATAATGACATGGTCTGGATGAAGTCTTGAATGAATTTGGGACTTGTGGAGAATGAGGGAATGGAGAGCTAGCAAAAACCTAGGATATATGGATCAGTATGAAAACCAGAAATAAAATGAGCTAAGCAGTGAGCTGTGTGCCTGGAACAGAGATGAAGCAGGAAGCATGGCCCCTTCCTTGAGTTAAGGAACCCACAGGAAGGTATTTGAGCAGAGGCGAGACAGTCAAAAGGGCATTGAAACAGAGACAAGCTGCCCGATGAAGCAACACCATCCAGTGCAGCTGGACTGTGGACACCTGTGTCCTTAGGTTTTCATACATTGTGAGAGCTTCGTTTACAAAGTGCATGGGATAAGAGGAGGGGCACCCCAAAAGAAGGAAAGCAGGAAAAGGCAGGGACCCCAGAGGCTCAGTCTCTGCAGAGGGTATTACTGCCTCACAGATGTTGGCCAAAGAAAGTTACTCACAGAAGTGGAAGGTGATGGGATGGGCTTTGGGGATGGAGGAGAAGCTGGATGGGAGGGGCTTATGCCCATGTTCATTGAGTCAACGCTGTGGTGCTGTAGGTACCACGCTGAGCACCAGGAACTCAGTGGAGAAAAAGACAGAAGTAGTCCTTGCCTTCTTAGAATGCATAATCCAGTGACTCCCATGGGAACCCTGGTGTTCCCAAGGAACTTCTTAAAAGAAGGAAAATATAGTGGGTTACGTGAAATAATTATGGTAGGCTAAAGAAACATTGTAGTATGTGGTTATGTCTGGAAGAAACTCAGGCGTCAATAATGGAACCAGAAGCTAGTTGAGGAAGCCTCTGTGAGGTGCCTTCTGAGCCCCAGAGGGGCACGGCCCGTCTAGATGGGGCAGGAGTCACACCGAGGATGTGCCCCTGTGATGCCAGCAGCGCGGATTCACCCCACACCTATCTGCAGCCTCACTCCTCCTCCCGCTTTCAGATCTCATTCGTCGGTTCGGATCCAAGCCAGTTCTGTGGTCAGCAAGGCTCCCCTCTGGGCAGGCCCCCTGGTCAGAGGGAGTTTGTATCCTCAGGGAGGAGTTTGCGGCTGACCTTCCGCACACAGCCTTCCTCGGAGAACAAGACTGCCCACCTCCACAAGGGCTTCCTGGCCCTCTACCAAACCGTGGGTGAGTGTCCCTCCTGGGGGTGCAGGGAGGGAGCCTCTGTTCCCAGCCATGACCCTGGTATCTTCAAGCCTTAAGTGGAAGCTTGAGTGACAGCTGAGGCTGGGGACTCAGGGACACCTGGGCTGGATCCCAGCCCTGCCCCTGCTGGCAAGCAACCCTATTAAGAGACAGCCGTAGCTGAGCCCCCAGCGGTTGTTTCCATGCAGATTTACAGGCCCAGTGTTTGCAGATCATCTCATTTTTAAAGAGATGCCAAAAATCCAGATTTTTAAGTAAAATTATAAATTTTCAAATGATGACTCAGATTTGTTTTTGAAAGATAAATACTGGCTGGAGGCAGTGGTTCATGCCTGTAATCCCAGCACTTTGGAAGGCCAAGGCTGGAAGATTGCTTGAGGCCAGTAGTTGGAGACCAGCCTGGGCAACATAGTGAGACCCCGTTTCCACAAAAAAAATTAAAAATTAGCCAGGCATGGTGGTGCACACCTGTAGTACCAGCTACTCAGGGACTGAGGGGGAGGATTGCTTGAGCCAGGGAGTTTGAGGCTGCAGTCAGCCACAATCATGCCACCGCACTCCAGCCTGGGAGACACGGAGAAACTAGAAGAGAGAAAGAGAGGAAGAGAGGAAGGAAGGAAGGAGGAAAAGGGAGAGGGAAGGGAAGGGAGGGAAGAAAGCGAGAAAGGAGAAAGAGGGAAAGAAAGAAGGGAGGGAGGGAGAGAGGGAAAGTAAGAAGGGAAGGAAGGAAGGAGGGAGGGAGGGAGGGAAGAAGGAGGGAGGGAGGGAGGGAAGGAAGGAGGGAAGGAGGGAAGGAAGGAAGGAAAGGAAGGAAGGGTGCACATGATAAAATATCATTTTTTTAAGTATGCTAAAAAGTAAGTCTTCCTCTGATCTCTGGCTCTTAACTCCTGGCTGCCCTCCCCAGAAACAACTGTGTTCTCCATTTCCTGGATATTCTTCCCGGGAAGAGGATAAATTGTGTGTGTCTATATTGCAAGTGTTCTAAACGTGGTATTTTTCTACTGAATAATATATCTTAAAGATCATCCCATTCCATATGGACAGCACTAACTCATTTATTTTTTATTTTTTATTTTATTTATTGTTTTTTGAGACAGAGTCTCGCTCTATTGCCCAGGCTGGAGTGCAGTGGCGCAGTCTCTTCTCATTGCAACCTCTGCCTCCTGGGTTCAAGCGATTCTCCTGCCTCAGCCTCCTGAGTAGCTGGGATTATAGGTATGCCACCACACCCAGCTAATTTTTGCATTTTTAATAATGGTTTCACCTTGTTGGCCAGGCTGGTCTCAAACTCCTGACCTCAGGTGATCTGCCTGCCTCAGGCTCCCAAAGTGCTAGGATTACAGCCGTGAGCCACCGCACCTGGCGAACTCATTATTTTTAATGACCACATAAAATCTCCTTGATTGATGTGTCATAATGTATTTCATCAGCCCTCCTGATAGATACTTTGCTGCCACACATGGTGCTACTGTGCATATCCTTGCATTTACATCTTTGAGCACATGTGTGAGAATATCTTTAGACTAAATTTTTAGAAATGGAGTAGGTTAAAAAATATTTGCATTTTAAATTTTGATATTGCTAAAATTTTCTCCAAAACGGTTTTGCTAATTTACATACCTATCAAACATATATGGAAGTGCCTGTTCCCCCCTACCCTGCTTGTCACAGTTATCTTCAAACTCTTTGAGTGTTGTCAATCTGATCAGTGAAAACGAACTCAAATGTTTTAAAAAAACTAAAAATAAAAAATAAAACACTGTGCAAGTCAAACCAAGTATAGCCATGGGCCAGAATCAGCCCCTGGGTTGCCAGTTGGCAAGTCTGTGCTAGGTGCTGTTTTCCTATAGCTGTGAACTATAGTCAGCCCATCAGCGAGGCCAGCAGGGGCTCTGAGGCCATCAACGCACCTGGAGACAACCCTGCCAAGGTCCAGAACCACTGCCAGGAGCCCTATTATCAGGCCGCGGCAGCAGGTGAGTCCCCACCTGCCGAGGGGTGGCTTCCATCCACCTCATTCCCACCCAAATGCCTGACACCCTCTGAGCACCTGCTTCGTTAACCAACAGCTTCAACTCCGAGCCTATTTCTTTGCCTCTCCTCATTTACGCCACAGGGGCACTCACCTGTGCAACCCCAGGGACCTGGAAAGACAGACAGGATGGGGAGGAGGTTCTTCAGTGTATGCCTGGTGAGTAGCCACCTGCTAGCACCATTCCCCCAACAAGCCTCAGCTGCAACTGGGACCTACAGGACACAGGGGTTAAAGGAAAGCCTTAGAATAGAAAGGAAGATAAGAAGCAGAAGGTGAGGAAGAACAGGGCAATCAAGAAGGCCCAGAAAAGAACAGGCAGGGAGCTTGTTCCTCATTCTTCAGGGGTCAAGATATATCTGAGGAAAAGCATGAAGGACGTTCATGAGATGGACTAGAAAAGGAGGAAGAGAGACCAACAAGCTGAAGTAACAGAAAACCCTCTTTTTGTGCCATACATTTTAAGGATATACCGACAGGCTCTCTATTCCTAAAATATCTCCCTACCTAGATGCCACACAGTGCCAGACAGTCAACCATTTTAAAAAAAATTATTGAGATAAAATTCATGGCTGGGCGCAGTGGCTCACTTTTTTTTTTTTTTTTTTTTTTTTTTTTTGGGATGGAGTTTCTCTCTTGTCGCCCAGACTGAAGTGCAACGGCACAATCTTGGTTCACTGCAACCTCCATCTCCTGGGTTCAAGCGATTCTCCTGCCTCAGCCTCCTGAGTAGCTGGGATTACAGGCACCTGCCACTATGCCCAGCTCATTTTTTTATTTTATTTTATTTTTTTTTTTTTTTTGTATTTTTAGTAGAGACAGGGTTTCACCACGTTGGTCAGGCTGGTCTTGAACTCCTGACCTCAGGTGATCGTCCCGCCTCAGCCTCCCAAAGTGCTGGGATTACAGGCTTGGGCCACTGCGCCCAGCCTTAACCACTTTAAACAGTACAATCCAGTAATGTTTAGTGTGTTCACAATGTTGTGAAACCATTACCACTAATTCCAGAACATTTCCATTACCTTCCCCAAAACAGCCCAGTACCTCCAACTCTCCCCTGACAACCACTAATCTTCTATCTCTATGGATTTGCCTTTATGGATTTTATATCAGTGGAATCATATAATGTGTGGCCATTTCTGTCTGGCTTCTTTCAGTTAGCGTAATGTTTTCAAGGTTCATTCCTGTTATAGCATCCATCAGTATTTCATTTTTATGGCTAAATAATACTCCTTTCTATGGATACGCCATTTTGTTTATTCATTCAACTGATGGACATTTGGGTTGTCTCTATTTCTTGCCTATTATGAATGATGCTGCTATGAGCATTTGTGTACAAGTTTTTATATCAACGTACGTTTCTAAATCTCCTGGGTATATACCTAGCAGTAGACTTGCTGGATTGTATAATAATTCTGTTTAACTTTTTGAGGAACCACCAAACTGTCTTCAACAGCAGCAGCACCAAGTTACATCTCACCGGCAATACATGAGGGTTCAAGCCCACCATTTTTGAGATCCACGCTTTTGAATGAAAGCATTGCCTTCTTTTGTTTTGTTTGTTTGTTTGTTTTGAGACAGAGTCTCGCTCTGTCGCCCAGGCTGGAGTGCAGTGGCGCGATCTCGGTTCACTGCAAGCTCCGCCTCCCGGGTTCAAGCCATTCTCCTGCCTCAGCCTCCCGAATAGCTGGGACTACAGGCGCCCGCCACCACGGCCGGCTAATTTTTTTTTGTATTTTTTAGTAGAGACGGGGTTTCACCGGGTTAGCCAGGATGGTCTCGATCTCCTGACCTCGTGATCCGCCCATCTCGGCCTCCCAGAGTGCTGGGATTACAGGCGTGAGCCACCGCGCCCGGCCGAAAGCATTGCCTTCTTAACCCAATCTGATCCACGGAAAACTCTAAGGGTAGCCTGAACACTCGCAGTGCTTTGGGGATGGTTTGGAGGGCAGGTGGTAGTGGGAGATGTTACAAATGAGGAAGTGACACAAAACTGAGGCAGGAGGCACTGAAACAGACTCTGCCTGTAGTATGGGGGCCCAGGATGGTCCAAACGAATGGCTTTAATGCCTCTGAGGAGGCAGGAAGGAGAGCCCTGCAGAACCAGCCCCAAACATGTGCTCATCTGTGCTCCCTACCCTCAGTCCACTGTCCTGAGTCCCATGCAGGATGGGTGCCCCGTACACTTGGCATTGATTACCTGTCCTTGTCTGCCCACATGGTCTACACCGTGGGTCTGCATCAGTATAAGAGTCCTGATCCCGGCCAGGCGCGGTGCCTCACGCCTGTAATCCCAGCACTTTGGGAGGCAGAGGCGGGTGGAACACTGAGGTCAGGAGTTTCAGACCAGCCTGGCCCACATGATGAAACCCCGTCTCTACTAAAAAATACACAAAAATTAGCCGGGCGTAGTGGTCGGTGCCTGTAATCCCAGCTACTCGGGAGGCTGAGGCAGAATTGCTTGAGCGCAGGAGGCGGAGGTTGCAGTGAGCCGAGATCGCGCAAGTACGCTCCAGTCTGGGCAACAAGAGCGAAACTCGATATCAAAAAAAAAAAAAAAACGTCCTGATCCCAGAGTCTCTTCACGCGTCCCCTACCACAGCACTTCAGAGAAGCAGGTCTTTAATCAGTGTGTCTAGATGCAGCTGCTGACTGTCACCCCTACCCCGCCTCTCTCCCAGTCTGCGGACGGCCAGTCACCCCCATTGCCCAGAATCAGACGACCCTCGGTTCTTCCAGAGCCAAGCTGGGCAACTTCCCCTGGCAAGCCTTCACCAGTATCCACGGCCGTGGGGGCGGGGCCCTGCTGGGGGACAGATGGATCCTCACTGCTGCCCACACCATCTACCCCAAGGACAGTGTTTCTCTCAGGAAGAACCAGAGTGTGAATGTGTTCTTGGGCCACACAGCCATAGATGAGATGCTGAAACTGGGGAACCACCCTGTCCACCGTGTCGTTGTGCACCCCGACTACCGTCAGAATGAGTCCCATAACTTTAGCGGGGACATCGCCCTCCTGGAGCTGCAGCACAGCATCCCCCTGGGCCCCAACGTCCTCCCGGTCTGTCTGCCCGATAATGAGACCCTCTACCGCAGCGGCTTGTTGGGCTACGTCAGTGGGTTTGGCATGGAGATGGGCTGGCTAACTACTGAGCTGAAGTACTCGAGGCTGCCTGTAGCTCCCAGGGAGGCCTGCAACGCCTGGCTCCAAAAGAGACAGAGACCCGAGGTGTTTTCTGACAATATGTTCTGTGTTGGGGATGAGACGCAAAGGCACAGTGTCTGCCAGGGGGACAGTGGCAGCGTCTATGTGGTATGGGACAATCATGCCCATCACTGGGTGGCCACGGGCATTGTGTCCTGGGGCATAGGGTGTGGCGAAGGGTATGACTTCTACACCAAGGTGCTCAGCTATGTGGACTGGATCAAGGGAGTGATGAATGGCAAGAATTGACCCTGGGGGCTTGAACAGGGACTGACCAGCACAGTGGAGGCCCCAGGCAACAGAGGGCCTGGAGTGAGGACTGAACACTGGGGTAGGGGTTGGGGGTGGGGGGTTGGGGGAGGCAGGGAAATCCTATTCACATCACTGTTGCACCAAGCCACTGCAAGAGAAACCCCCACCCGGCAAGCCCGCCCCATCCCAGACAGGAAGCAGAGTCCCACAGACCGCTCCTCCTCACCCTCTACCTCCCTGTGCTCATGCACTAGGCCCCGGGAAGCCTGTACATCTCAACAACTTTCGCCTTGAATGTCCTTAGAACCGCCTTCCCCTACTTCATCTGTTGACACAGCTTTTATACTCACCTGTGGAAGAGTCAGCTACTCACCCGCTATTAGAGTATGGAGGAAGGGGTTTTCATTGCATTGCATTTCTGAAACATTCCTAAGACCCTTTAGTTGACCTTCAAATATTCAAGCTATTCTGCAGCTCCAAGATGCAATTATAGAAACAGCTCCTTTTTTATTTTATGTCCTCTATATGCCAGGTGCTTCACCTGTTATTTCACTTAATCCTCATACCATATTTGCAAAGGATGTGTTATTATCTATGTGTGACAAATGAGGAAACTGAGGCTCAGGGGATAAAGGGACTTGCCCAAGTCCCACAGCTGGTGTGTGACTGCAGAGACTGTGCTCTTCCCAGTGTGCTGCAATACTTCTCAACCCTCCTCTAACCTGCTGTGTCACCCGCTTTCCCTCCCAGCCCCCACATCCTTACCATTTTCCCTCCCTGGGAATTCCTGCTTCTGCGAAAATGGTATCCTCTAGCTCACACTTTCCTAATGGCCCCATCTCCTGCAGAAGCCAGGTGAGCCCAGCACTGGACTGAAGTTCTTGCAGACACCCCACCTGTGCCCCTATCATCAGGGGAACTGCTCCACCTGAGAGGACCAACTCTTTAATTTTTAGTAAAACCTGGAGGTGATGGGCCGGGCGCAGTGGCTCACGCCTGTAATCCCAACACCTTAGGAGTCCGAGGTGGGTGGATCACGAGGTCAGGAGATCCAGCCCATCCTGGCCAACATGGTGAAACCCCATCTCTACTAAAAATACAAAAATTAGCCGGGCGTGGTGACACGTGCCTGTAGTCCCAGCTACTCGGGAGGCTGAGGCAGGAGAATCACTTGAACCTGGGAGGCGGAGGTTGCAGTGAGCTAAGATCACGCCACTGCACTCCAGCCTGCGGACAGACCAAGACTTCATCCCCCCCAAAAAAAAAAGATTGGAGGTGATTTACAGTGAAAGACACAAATAAAATACAACTGTTCAATGGAAATAGAAAATAAACACCATAAAAGAGAGAAGAGAGGTAATTTGTTAGCATCAAGAGTCAAGTTGCTATATGGTCAAAGGTTAAATTTATCTCTAAAAAATGGCAGGATTCAAAGTTGTACATACATGTGATTACTTCTGTTTTTTACACCCACATACAGTACAAAAGATTATTAAAAATATTCCCAAAAGGCAGGTGCAATGATGCACACTTATACCCCCAGCCACTCAGGAGGCTGATGCAAGAGGATCGCTTGAGCCCAGGAGTTGAAGTCCAGCCTAAGCAACATAGTGAAACCCCATCGCCAAAAATATAATAATAATTCTCTCAAAATACTAAACAGAGGTGGTTTTATTGATAAGATTTTGGCTGTTTGGTTTTCCACTATTCTCTATTGGCTAAAATTTGTTTAATGAGCATGAAATGTTTTTATTTTATTTTGCTTATTTTTATGATTGCAAAAAATGATATGAGTTTCTCCCTGCCAAGGCAAAAAAATATATATATACCTATATTTATATGTGTATGTCTAGATCTATATCTCTACATCTCCATCGCTGTCTCTGTCTAGAGATAGAGATATCGACAATGAGAGAGAGAGGGAGGTAAGAGATAGAGATGATGGAGATAGATGAGCTAGCGATAGAGACATATCCACAGAGGAAAACCTACCACTACTTTAAGAGAGAAATCTTTTTCCCAAGAATCAAATCCTTAAAGGAACAAACACTGTAACCGACTATATCCTCAATAATTGTTTTAAAACAAACGCAGCAGCATTTCATATGGCATTTTTTTCCTTCTTGGTATGAGTCAAGGACAAAACAAAGTCAAGGACATAACAAAAATGTGTGAGTAAAGGTTATTTTGAATGGTTGGGCAGAGTGGAGACAGGGCTGGGACTGAGCTAATGACATCCAGGTTTGCCGCTCTCCAAGCGTGTTGCACAATGCCAACGCAGAACTGAGAATCCCTAGGATGGACGGAAGAGCTTCAGCTAAGACTTACCTCCTTACCTGTTCCCTCTGCCTCCATTATGAACATACGGCACATGCGCGCGTGCACACACACACACACACACAAACTGCTGCTAGGATATTAATGTGCAGTTTGTTAGACGAGATTCCCCTTCCTTCTCGTCCTCTGATCTGGTGCTTTTCCTTCTCCCCCATCTTTTGTCTTTCCTGATCTAACAAGGCTGTGGATCATATGCTGATCCCATCACAGACCAGCCCTCCGTTAGGTTCAGTCCTCAGCTCTGACACACAGGCCTGCTGGAGAAACCCTCCAAGCGTTGGTGGATCTTGCACCTTCTGTGTGCCTGCTGTCTAACTACTGATGATGTGGTCACTGCCTGATGGGGAACTGCATCAGCTCTGTGAATTCTTGCAATCTATTGCCTGGGAAAGTGTCTTGCACATTAAACAGGTAGCCCATAAATGGATGAACGGGGGTGGGGGCAGAAGGGTGGAGGTTGGAGGGATTCATCTAATAAGGGAAACAAGCAGAACAGCCTACAAAGGCTTAAGAACGCAGAGTCCTGCTCTGCAGCCCAAGCCCCTCCGTGGGATGAAGTGCCATCAGATATTTGGTGCCATGGAGAGTTGATGAAGAAAGCCTTCCAAAAACAATGAAATTGTTTTTTAATTTATTTTAACTTTTAGAGACGAGATCTCACTATGTTGCCCAGGCTGGTTTCGAACTCCTGGGCTCAAGAGATCTTCCCACCCTGGCCTCGAAAAGTGCTGGCATCACAGGCATGAGCCACCACACGTGGCCAAGAGCAAAAGTTTTAAAGCAGGACACTATGGCCTGATGGACAGGAGAGACTAGGGTCCCTCCTCCCTCCCAGGGGCCTGGCTTCATCTCAGAAAAACCGAGTCCCTCTTGCTCCACACCCGCATCCTTAGCTTCAGCCCTGGCAGTTGTGTTGAGCAGATGCTAAGGAGATGGGGACATTTTACCCCCTCCGCAGCCGCCCCAGAGGGTCTCAAACCCAGGGCTGATTTAGGGTTGCCCTGACATGGCCAACCCTATTCTATGTCCAAGTGTCATTCATGGCTAAAGCAGGCCAGGGCCCCAAGGCAACCAAGCTCCTCTCTCCTCTGCCCGCTCCCACACACCCTCCTCTGCCCCAGTGTTCCTATCATTACGTCCTGGGCATTGAAACCCGGGCCATTCTTGGACCAGGGCTGTGGGCTGAATGAGGGCAGGAAGAACAGGGTCAATGGGAAAGGACAGCCCAGAAAAGAGAATTCACCACCACCTGTGGTCTCCCACTGCTTTGGTAGGAACCTTGTAAACACAGCAGCAGCCCCCAGGAAAGTCTTGGAAGAAGGGAGAAGCTGATCAGATTTAGAGACTGAGACATCTGGGCCTCCAACCCAAGGCTCCCCGGGCCCTAAAAAGCCAGACTCCCGTCTCCTTAGCCCTTTCCCTCACCGACCAGCAGGTGGCACCACAAACAGGGATTTCAAAACCAAAACTAAATTAAAGTGGAAACTCAGATCTTTTGTTTATGCAAATAGTTCATTCCCTCCAACATTCCTCCGGGAATGGTCCCCCCTCCACTCCACAGAAAACCCTCCCCTCCCTGCTGTGCATGACGCGGGCTCCCTCTGCACACAGTGCACGAAGACGCTGTCGGGAGAGCCCAGGATTCAACACGGGCCTTGAGAAATGTGAGTAAGGGTGATGGGCAACCAGGTGGGAGGGAGAAGCCAGGGGAGAAGCCAGGGCATGGGAGGCAATTCAGGGAGACAGGAACACCCTTCTCTCTTCACACACCTCATCAGTTCCACTGTGCACACGCGTGGACACACACAACACACGCCCCATCCCTCCTCCTAGGGATCAGAGGAGACTTCATACATAGATGCTCATGCCATGGTCCTTTCTTCCCTCTGGGCTCTTGGCAGGGAGCAGCGAGAGGAGGGGACCCCTTGCCCAGGACGGGACACTCTGTGCCTGTGTCCCCCACTCCACAGATGGTTTCTCCCAGACGCTCTTGCTGAACCTGTGGGAGCCCTTTCAGAGACCCACGGGTGGAAACCCTCACCCTCCATTAACTGGTCCCAAGCCAGTCCTATTCCTGGAAGGGGAGGGGAGGGACGCGTCCGGGCAGGGGAGGAGGCTGGAAAGGGAGTGTGAGGGGAGTGTGGTGGCCTCTGGACTGGACACTGCCCTGGAGAGTGACCCGATGCAGCAGCTGCACAGGCCATCCTCCCCACCCACGCACCCCTGCTGAGAACATGTCTGTGAGGTTCAGGGTGGGCAGAGAGGAGAATGCCCAGTGGTATGGCCGTCTCATCCCCTGCCACAGCCACTGCCCACATGGCAAGAGTGCTGAACCCCTCCAGCTCCAGATACTCTCTTTTGTTTTGGCAGGTGGCTCTTGTACCTCCTGGTGCCGGCCCTGTTCTGCAGGGCAGGAGGCTCCATTCCCATCCCTCAGAAGTTATTTGGGGAGGTGACTTCCCCTCTGTTCCCCAAGCCTTACCCCAACAACTTTGAAACAACCACTGTGATCACAGTCCCCACGGGATACAGGGTGAAGCTCGTCTTCCAGCAGTTTGACCTGGAGCCTTCTGAAGGCTGCTTCTATGATTATGTCAAGGTAGGGGCAGGATGGGCGGGCAGAGGGGAGACAAAACTGGGCCCTCTGGGATCTGGGATCTGTATGGCATGCACACCCCCAGACACAGCCCAGCCCCACAAGAGCTGATGGCCAACGGCCTCTCTGAGAGCCCGGGGATGCCCTGGATGGGCGCTCACTGGTGTAGAGGCCCTCGGTGAGCACTGAGGGGAGAAGCACAGAGAAGGAAGGGGACAGGACCCACTCAGGAAATTCAACATCCACTGAGTCAGGAAAACCTTCCCCATCTGCTGTCTAGCTGAGAGTCTTTGGGAAACCACTGTGCCTCAGCTTCCCTGTCTCCAAGGAAATGATTGACATGGCTGCCTGCTTCAACAGGAACACAGGGACATGAGGAGGAGAAATGTGGGCTCTGGCAGCACAGGAATAGCCTTCAGCAAGGACAGTGTGCTCAGAACCCTCACCTCTGTGGCAACCAAGGGTACCTTCCCAGGCCTGTCTTTCTCTATCCAGTAAAAATGAGATTCAGGGCTCAAGCAGAGCCTGCGAAGGTCCAACAACTACCATTCCCAGGAGACCCCTGGAGATTATGCGTGAATTACATGACAATGGCACGTCTTACCGGCTCAGAAGACTTGGCGAGTGTGCAGTGTTGGGGGAGGGCGTTTGCTGGCAGAGTCAAGGAGAGGTTGAGGAGGCTGTGAGGAGGAAGGAAGAGGGACGAGGCAGTGCCTGCTGACACTGAGATGGGTGGGCTTCAGGGCTCATGTTCCGCCGAGGGCATCAGGAGGCACTCGAGGTGTGAATGGTTTGATTAGGCTGAGGTGGAATCTGAAGACAGAAAATAAAGCGGAGCTGTCTGAGCTCTGGGAATGAGGGGCAGGTAAAGGCTGGGTACAGACAACCAGGACCCCAGGGGAACAGGCCATAGGAGGTGGTGGGGATGGAGAAGGACCTGAAACCTGCCAGAGGAGCAGAAAACAGGGAAAGGGTGAGGTACCCAGTCCAGGACAACACGCAAAGAGTGAGTCAGTGGGAGACTCAGGGAACAGCTGAAAGTCACATGGGGAAGTTTGCAGCAGCTGAGCCCAGCAGGTAGTGACCAGCCAGAGCCATTGTGGTGCATGATGCACTCTGGGCGAGACAAGGAGGACCATCACTGAGCCACCACGTGCGCCACTCCGCAACAGATCTTCTTCCTACCCCCTGTCCTTCTTCCACCAGATCTCTGCTGATAAGAAAAGCCTGGGGAGGTTCTGTGGGCAACTGGGTTCTCCACTGGGCAACCCCCCGGGAAAGAAGGAATTTATGTCCCAAGGGAACAAGATGCTGCTGACCTTCCACACAGACTTCTCCAACGAGGAGAATGGGACCATCATGTTCTACAAGGGCTTCCTGGCCTACTACCAAGCTGTGGGTGAGTAGCCCCCCAGGGATCCCTTTTCTCTGACCTCAGCCATATTGAATGGGGGGCCAAGAAAGGGAATCTTGAATGCAAAGAAGCCGAAAGCCTGGCTTTCCTTGTTCCTCCCCTCGAGAGAGCTTTTCCTAACGAGGCCTGTCAACCTGGGCTCTGTCCCCATGGAGCAGTCCCCAGAGAGCATTGGAGAGGCCTGGAGGTCCAGGTGGCCTAAAGATGCCTTTGTCTTTAGGTCTCTGGTGAGTGACCTCCCTAAGATCAGAGCCACTACTCAGGTCTCCCAGCAGAAGCTTAACCCTCCTTCCTGAATGCCTTCCAGACCTTGATGAATGTGCTTCCCGGAGCAAATCAGGGGAGGAGGATCCCCAGCCCCAGTGCCAGCACCTGTGTCACAACTACGTTGGAGGCTACTTCTGTTCCTGCCGTCCAGGCTATGAGCTTCAGGAAGACAGGCATTCCTGCCAGGGTGAGCCAGAGTGGTGTAGCAGAGGGGAAGGGGTTGAGCCAGGGCTTGCTGGGCCAGCTGGAGTCCCCCGTAATGCCCTGTGGCTCTGCTCTCACAGCTGAGTGCAGCAGCGAGCTGTACACGGAGGCATCAGGCTACATCTCCAGCCTGGAGTACCCTCGGTCCTACCCCCCTGACCTGCGCTGCAACTACAGCATCCGGGTGGAGCGGGGCCTCACCCTGCACCTCAAGTTCCTGGAGCCTTTTGATATTGATGACCACCAGCAAGTACACTGCCCCTATGACCAGCTACAGGTACAGCCGTCCTACCCCTGAAAGACCCCTTCCTCCCCTTCTGTCTGCACTTGGCTCCTCTTGTCCCAACTTCCTCCTGGATCCCCTGGCCAGCTGGGGCAGGAACGGCCAACATCACCCATGGGCTGGGTAAGTTCCCACACAACTAGAATTGGGTCATGGGGATCCCTTTTCACCTTCCCCTGAAAACACACATAAGGCAGGATTTCATCACCACCACCACCACCCTGGCCACCAGGCTACTACCCAGTTGGCCCTGTGTAAAAACGTCCAAGCTGAAAAAAAAAAACCCTCCTCCCCTACTAGATCTATGCCAACGGGAAGAACATTGGCGAGTTCTGTGGGAAGCAAAGGCCCCCCGACCTCGACACCAGCAGCAATGCTGTGGATCTGCTGTTCTTCACAGATGAGTCGGGGGACAGCCGGGGCTGGAAGCTGCGCTACACCACCGAGAGTAAGGCTCCCTGCAGGCCTCCCTCGATGGCCAGCAATGGGGAAAAGGGGGGAAGAAGGAAGGACAAGTGGCTCTGAAATAAATATGCCCCCTGGTCTCCCCAACAGTCATCAAGTGCCCCCAGCCCAAGACCCTAGACGAGTTCACCATCATCCAGAACCTGCAGCCTCAGTACCAGTTCCGTGACTACTTCATTGCTACCTGCAAGCAAGGCTACCAGCTCATAGAGGTAAGAGCCCAGGGCTGAGGGGAGAGAGCCGGCCCAGCACCCCAGGAGGAATTCAGGTGGTGGGTTCACAGAGGATTTAGTCTCACCCCAGCTGGAGTCGTAGACGTTTCAGCTGGAAGAGTCTCCTGGTCCACCAGCTCTCAAACTTGCTGCACACTTAAAACAGAGAGTTTAAAATCCTGGAAGATTGCTTGAGCCCATTCATTCAAGGCCCCTGTGAATAGCCACTGCACTCCAGCCTGAGCAATATAGCAAGACTCTGTCTCTGAAAAATAAAAATAAGCAAATAAATACTGAAGATGAGGGCCCCCAACAGAGACTCTGATTCCATTGATCTAGAGTAGAGCCTGAACATCAAGACTATTTAAAGCTACCCAGGTGATTCTAATGCACAGCCAAGTTTAAGAACTATTGCCCTAGTCCAATAACTCAAGAGAGCTGAAGGAACTGAAAAGGCAGGGTGGAGATGTAGTGACTCGTCAACATCACGTAGCGATTGTGTACGGCAGGGACTAGGACGCCAATCTCCTGCCTCCTGCTCCGGGGCTCTTTTACACATGTTGGTGGTCTCCCCCTGCGCCCACCGTCCTGTCCTCGGCTCTGCAGATTCAGGAGGGAATATGGTTTTATCCATTGATCAATCTCACAAAAGCTGGTAAACTAAAAATCTCTGTCTCTGGACAGAGACCCAAGACTGGACATCCCATCGTTGTTCAACAGGTCCACATGGAACACTTAATCAGAATCAAAGAAGAGACCTAGGATATGTCCTTAAGTCACAGTTAATTCATTTAATGCACACTTTAAGTGTCTACTGTCAGGCACTGTCCTAGATGTGGGAGGTTCAGTAAAAAGAAACCCACATAGTCACACAGCCTTTGTGGAGCTCACATTTGAATGTTGCATCAAGTCGAGTTCACCTGATGCATTGTTCTTTACTCCAAGGTGCTTCCAGCTCCATCAGGAGGATTGGGTGGGTGTCCTGGGTCCAGAAGAATGGAGACTACCAACCTCTTTGCTCCTATTACAACCCTCCCTTGCCTGCACCACCCACTGCCCTTACTTTTGCATTTGTTATTCACATCATAGAATTTAAAGCAAGTCACACGGTTTCTCACATTACCTACATTTTACTCAGACGTTCTAGTTCTCATACACATTCTCTTACAACCTTTTCCAGGGCTAACTCCATGGAATGATTTTTGGTCTTTTTGTTTTGTCTTGTTTTGTTTTTGAGAGAGAGTCTTGCTCTGTCACCCAGGCAGTGGCATGGTCTCAGCTCACTGTAAACTCCGCCTCCCAAGTTCAAGTGTTTCTCCTGGATTCAAGCTATTCAAGTGCCTCAGCCACCCGAGTTGCTGGAATTACAGGCGTGCGCCACCATGCCCAGCTAATTTTTGTATTTTTAGTAGAGACAGGGTTTCTCCATGTTGCCCAGGCTGGTCTCGAACTCCTGGCCTCAAGTGATCCGCCCACCTCAGCCCCCCAAAGTGCTGGGGTTACCGGCGTGAGCCACTGCACCTGGCCGAATTTTGGTCTTAGTAAAACTTATTCATTTGTCCAGTAACTTTTCATTTCAAAGACTGCCATTTCCTAGTCTTGTCCCTGCTCAATAGCAACAGCACTTCACATACATCAACGTCTCCAGCACCTTTCAAAGCTGCGAGGTGGCTCTAGTATTTTAGGGAAGGCCTCTGTCCTTAGGAAAACTGCAACCCAGGAGAGATAAAGTGATGCACGCCTGGAGGCAGGGGACACCAGCAAGAGAAACACAGTTCTGCCCTGGAGCACAGGCTTTTGTTTTGATACAGAAAACACTCAAACGTGGCTTGTGATTTTTTCAAATTACAAATTGTGGGATTCAACTGGACCTCAGTAGGAACAGGCCACAGTCTAGAGAGAGGATGATCAGGTCTATCAGTTAGCTCTGCTCTGACTTGCTGTGGTGTGGCTCAATGCTCCTGTCTGTAATGGGCTGGGGAGAAGGAAGAAGGAGCCACATCCATGGGGGAGCCACATCCATGGGGGAGCCACATCCATGGGGGAGCCAAGAGATGTCTTGGTATTGCCTCCCACTCCTGTGTGGAAAGGGCAGGAAGGGGACCTCCATTGCCTCTTGGCACTGATGGCACCTCTATCCTCTGCTCAACAGGGGAACCAGGTGCTGCATTCCTTCACAGCTGTCTGCCAGGATGATGGCACGTGGCATCGTGCCATGCCCAGATGCAAGAGTAAGTCACAATTCAGGGATATGACCCTGGGGACCTCCCACCTCCTGCCTTGAGGACCTGGGCCAAGAAAGAAAGAGGGGTCCAGACTAAGCCTCTTTCCAAGAGACCCTCACCCTGACTTGTCCTTTGATGCCTATGGGCCATCTCAGGAATCAGTGAGCCCTCATCTCAGTGGGATGGATGGGCTCTACCCAGAATTGAATTTCATACCACCCAACTCCTGTCCATTGCAAGGGCCCTCCCCACTGACTATCTTTTCTAAGCTTCTGAGCCTGCTCTGCAGGTAGACAACTCACACTCCCCTCACTGAAGTTCCAGCACAGTCATTCTCAGCTCTCACCCTGCCCTGTGTTCTCTCCAAGTCAAGGACTGTGGGCAGCCCCGAAACCTGCCTAATGGTGACTTCCGTTACACCACCACAATGGGAGTGAACACCTACAAGGCCCGTATCCAGTACTACTGCCATGAGCCATATTACAAGATGCAGACCAGAGCTGGCAGCAGGGAGTCTGAGCAAGGTAGGGACCAATGCGAATGGAAATTTCCTCCCTTCCATCCCCTTGGGGTATCCTCTGAGATTTCTCCCAGTAGAATCCCTAGGGAATGCATATTAAGGTATCTGCCAGGGCACTGGCTTCAGGGGCCTAAATTATAGTGCTAACAGGAACCTAGTAGGTTTGAAGAAGGAGGCATCTGAGCTGATGCAAAGAAAAGATTCAAATCGCATAAACAGCTCACTGTCACCACATCATCCCCACTACCACCATTGCCTCCACCACACCCCCATTGCTACCATCACTGCCATCACCACCACTACCAGTAACAACACCAGCAACACTACCAATAGCATCAGTGCCAGCACAATCACCACCATCACCGCCATCACCACAATCAACACTGTTACCATTACCAACACCACCATCACCACTACCATTATCACCACCATTACCAACACCACTATCACCACCACCATTACTAACACCGATGCCACCATCACCACCACCAACACCATCATCACCACCATCACCATTACCAACATCATCATCACCACCAACACTAACACCACCATCACCACCATCACCACTATCATTACCAACACCACTGTCAACACTACCATGATCACCACCACCATTACCAACACCACCATCACCACTACCATTATCACCACCAGCATTACCAACACCACTATCACCACCACCATTACTGACACCAACACCACCATCACCACCAACACCATCATCACCACCATCACCATTACTAACATCATCATCACCACCACACTAACACCACCATCACCACCATCACCACTATCATTACCAACACCACTGTCAACAATACCATGATCACCACCACCATTACCAACACCACCATCACCACCACCATCACCACCAACACCATCATCAGCACCATCACCATTACCAACATCATCATCACCACCACACTAACACCACTTCCATCATCACTATACTGTTACCAACACCACTGTCACCACTACCATGATCACTACCACCATTACCAACACCATCACCACCACTATTACCAACACCATTACCAACACCACTATCACCACTCTCATTATCACCATCATGATTACCAACACCAACACTACCATCACCACCATCACCATTACCAACACCATCACCACCACCAACACCATCGTCACCACCACACTAAAACCTCCATCACCACCATCACCACTATCACCATTACCAACACCATCACCACTACCATTATCATCGCCACCATTACTAACACCATTACCAACACCACTGTCACCACCACCACCATTACCAACACCAACACCACCATCACCACCATCACCATTACCAACACCATCATCATTACCACCATTACCAAGACCATCATCACCACTACAATTATCACCGCCACCATTACTAACACCATTACCAACACCACTGTCACCACCACCACCATTACCAACACCAACACCACCATCACCACCACCAACACCATCATCCCCACTATGACCACTATCATCGTCATCATCACCACCAACAGTAACACCATCACCACTATCACCATTACCAACACCACTGTCGCCACTACCATGATCACCACCACCATTACCAACACCAATATCACCACCACCACCATTGCCAACACCAACACCACCATCACCTCCATCACCATCATCACTATCACCATTACAAACACCACCATCATCACTACCATTATCACCACCACTATTACTAACACCATTACCAACACCACTGTCACCACCATCATTACCAACACCAACACCACCATCACCACCAACACCATTACCACCATCACCATTACCAACACCATCATCACTACCAACACCATCACAGCAAATACTACCATCACCACTACCACCATTAACAACACCACCATTAACAACACCATCACCACCAACACCAACACCACAGTCTTCACCACCATCATGACCACTACAGCTAACTCAGTGAAACTCCCCTCTCCATTCTCCCCCTCAACCTAGTTGTGATTTTTGCACTTAGTTTTACTAAACGACTCTCACTCATTAGTGGGTATTTTTCTAACTTTTTTTAAATATTAGAAATCACATGCATTATAGGTTTGAAACACAGAAAAAAGGGAAAAAATCTGGATTATAAATGGTATTCATTAAGAGCTGGGCTTTGGAGTCAGAAAACCTCTTGCACCTTGGTTCTGGCACTTAGAAGTTATGTGACCCTGTGCAAATTATTTAAACTCAGTTTCCTCATCCACAAAATGAGGATAATAACACACACCTGCAAGTGTCACTATAGTGTTTAAATGAGATCGTGCAGATAAAGTGCTTAGCAACAAGCATGGCACATTTTCAGCAATCAGAAGATGTAGCTACAATTATCGTCTATGATTCCACGACCAAGATGCAATCACTGATAAGATTTTGATATATTCCTTCTGGTTTTTATGTCTACTTTCACAAGCAGGGATCACAGCAAACATATGTTAATAGTTAAGCATTCTGGCCAGGCGTGGTGGCTCACACCTGTAATCCCAGCACTTTGGGAGACCGAGGCAGGTGGATCACGAGGTCAGGAGATCGAGACCATCCTGGCTAACACGGTGAAACCCTGTCTCTACTAAAAATACAAAAAATTAGCCGGGCATGGTGGCGGGCACCTGTAGTCCCAGCTACTTGGGAGGCTGAGGCAGGAGAATGGCATGAACCTGGGAGACGGAGCTTGCAGTAAGCCGAGATTGCGCCACTGCACTCCAGCCTGGGCAACAGAGTGAGACTCCGTCCCAAAAAAAAAAATAGTTAAGCATTCTGATTTTTTTACTTGGCATTAAAACAAAATATAGGTCTAGAGCCTCTGAACACTTGACATTCTTTCCTTCTAGAGTTGAGCCTTTGACCTTTGGCCCTTGCCATGTTGGCTCCTCCCTGCCCCTCTCCCCATCAAGCACACTCAGTACTTGCTGGCCTCTGCAACCTAGTTTTCTTACCCATCACCCCCCAACTTGATTCTTGCCTCCTCTGCCCTCAGGGGTGTACACCTGCACAGCACAGGGCATTTGGAAGAATGAACAGAAGGGAGAGAAGATTCCTCGGTGCTTGCCAGGTGAGTGGAAACCCTCTGGGGCCATCATCAGGGTCTTTAGCAGCCTGCAGGGCCTCAAAAGCAGTGTGGCCCAGAAAAAGGAGAGAGAGGAGAGAAGAGGGGAACATCCCAGGAGAAAGGGAGAGAGGGACAGAGTGCTGAATTCAGTCCCGAAATGCTGCCATTTTCACTAAGCAGATGGGAAATCAGGGAATAAAAACAATGGGAGACCCCCTAGGAAGAAATAAACAAGAACAAGGGGCAAGACGTGGTGGCTCACACCTGTAATCCCAGCACTTTGGGAGGTCAAGGCAAGCGGATCACCTGAGGTCAGGAGTTCGAGACCAGCCTGGCCAACATGGCGAAACCCAGCCTCTGCTAAAAAGAGAAAAATTAGCCAAGCATGGTGGCACATGCCTGTAGTCCCAGCTACTTGAGTGGCTGAGGCACAAGAATTGCTTGAACCCAGGAGGCGGAGGTTGCAGTGAGCTGAAATCGCGCCACTGCATGCCAGCCTAGGCAACAGAGCAAGGAGTCTCAAAAAATAAAAATAATAATTTAAAAAAAAAAAAAAAACAAGAACAAGAAGAGCCTGTCAATAGGCCAATGACGGAGGTGTGGGGATGGGAGGAGAAAGAGAAAAGAGACAGAAGCCAAAAAGAGAGGGCAAACAGGGAGCTGGCTGGCTGCAGAAGGAAGAGATGTGGGACCTGGAACTGACTTGCCCTTGTCTTCCCTGTCTCTCCCTCAGTGTGTGGGAAGCCCGTGAACCCCGTGGAACAGAGGCAGCGCATCATCGGAGGGCAAAAAGCCAAGATGGGCAACTTCCCCTGGCAGGTGTTCACCAACATCCACGGGCGCGGGGGCGGGGCCCTGCTGGGCGACCGCTGGATCCTCACAGCTGCCCACACCCTGTATCCCAAGGAACACGAAGCGCAAAGCAACGCCTCTTTGGATGTGTTCCTGGGCCACACAAATGTGGAAGAGCTCATGAAGCTAGGAAATCACCCCATCCGCAGGGTCAGCGTCCACCCGGACTACCGTCAGGATGAGTCCTACAATTTTGAGGGGGACATCGCCCTGCTGGAGCTGGAAAATAGTGTCACCCTGGGTCCCAACCTCCTCCCCATCTGCCTCCCTGACAACGATACCTTCTACGACCTGGGCTTGATGGGCTATGTCAGTGGCTTCGGGGTCATGGAGGAGAAGATTGCTCATGACCTCAGGTTTGTCCGTCTGCCCGTAGCTAATCCACAGGCCTGTGAGAACTGGCTCCGGGGAAAGAATAGGATGGATGTGTTCTCTCAAAACATGTTCTGTGCTGGACACCCATCTCTAAAGCAGGACGCCTGCCAGGGGGATAGTGGGGGCGTTTTTGCAGTAAGGGACCCGAACACTGATCGCTGGGTGGCCACGGGCATCGTGTCCTGGGGCATCGGGTGCAGCAGGGGCTATGGCTTCTACACCAAAGTGCTCAACTACGTGGACTGGATCAAGAAAGAGATGGAGGAGGAGGACTGAGCCCAGAATTCACTAGGTTCGAATCCAGAGAGCAGTGTGGAAAAAAAAAAACAAAAAACAACTGACCAGTTGTTGATAACCACTAAGAGTCTCTATTAAAATTACTGATGCAGAAAGACCGTGTGTGAAATTCTCTTTCCTGTAGTCCCATTGATGTACTTTACCTGAAACAACCCAAAGGGCCCCTTTCTTTCTTCTGAGGATTGCAGAGGATATAGTTATCAATCTCTAGTTGTCACTTTCCTCTTCCACTTTGATACCATTGGGTCATTGAATATAACTTTTTCCAAATAAAGTTTTATGAGAAATGCCAGTGTGCAAAATGAGTCAAAAGTTGTATTTAATTTATATAAAAATATTTTGTAAGGAAGGTCATATTTAAAATATTTACTCAGGAAGGCAACAAGAACAGTTAAGTTTATGCACACATTTACAATTAGGGTTATGGATAACAATAAATATCTGTGTTTTGTTTTGATTGTACAATATAAAGAAAATGCTGATTTTCCCACATGCATAGTTGTAAATATAACAGCTTTTTTTTTTTTTTTCAAGACAGACTCTCACTCTGTGACTCACACTGGAGTGTAGTAGTGCAGTCTTGGCTATCTGCAACCTCTGCCTCAGGGTTCAACTGATTCTTGTGCCTCAGCCACCTGAGTAGCTGGAATTACAGGCATCTGTCACCACTGCCCAGCTAAATTTTTTGTATTTTCAGTAAAGACGGAGTTTTGCCATGTTGGCCAGGCTAGTCTCGAACTCCTGACCTCAAGTGATCCGCCTGCCTCGGCCTCCAAAGTGCTGGGATTACAGGCAAGAGCCACTGCACCCAGCCTATAACAGCTTTTTTAACAGCTCATCTTCCAGTCTCTAAATATTCCTTAGGAGAGGAGTGCTATGAAATTTTTGTTTCCAAGCTGAATCACTAACAATATTGTTAAATCACTTGTATTCTTTAAGATCTCTAAAAATCAGAAAAGGACACAGAACTTGGATTAAGCATTATAAGTATTTGTAATAGAACAGTATCATGGTGTTATTGCACAATTGACTGTTCCAGACTTGTTTAAACAACTTTACATGACCCAGCACACACAGGCCTGAACTTCAGAAGACCAGCAGAGTTAAAACATTCCCAAGTGATGAGTTGTTTTTTTTTAACTTTTTTTAAACTTTTTTTTTTTTTTTTTTTTTGAGACAGAGTCTCATTCTATCACCCAGGCTGGATGCAGTGGCACAATCTCAGCTGACTGCAGCCTCCACCTCCCAGGTTCAAGAGATTCTCCTGCCTCAGCCTCCCGAGTAGCTGGGATTACAGGCGCCTGCCACTATGCCCAGCTAATTTTTGTACCTTTGGTAGAGATGGCATTTCACCATGTTGGCAAGGCTGGTCTCGAACTCCTGACTTCAAGTGATTCGCCCACCTCGGTCTCCCAAAGTGCTGGGATTACAGGCATGAGCCACCGTGCCCAGCCCTCTTCTTATTTTAATAATCGGAGGAGTTCCCAGGAAACTCAGATGACTCCTCTGACCTTCTAATTCCCATTCCCCCACCCCAAACTCATATGTGTCTTATTCTCAAAGTGCACTGGAATAGGAAAGTACAGGCAAAACCAATGATCTGTGAATAGATGGTTCACAGAAAAGAAAATATAAATTGCTTTGAGGCTTTGGGGCTTAATTTCACTCATAATAAGGAAAATATTTAAATAAAATGCCATCTTTTTACCTGTAAGATTGGCAAAAATAATATACCATGTTGTTGAAAATGTAAAGAAAAAGACACTCTCACACATTGCTTTTCGGAATGTATCCCTACAGAGAGCAATTTGGTAACAGGTAACCAAAATTACAAATACATATGCCTTTTCACTCACCAATTCAACTTCTAGGAATTCAGCCCACATTTTCTCACATATGAAATAAACCGCACATGTAGGTTAGTCATTGCAGCATTGTTTATAATAACAAAATATTGGAATCCTGCATTCTGAAAGGTATCTGGTACCAAAGTTTCAGGTAAATTATGGAATATCCAAATGATGAAATGCAATGTAACCATTCAATCCTTACTACAGACAGCATGGTAAGTGAAAACAAGTAAAATGCAGAATGTATAAAATATTATGTATAAAACGCTACCGTTTCCATTTGTAGCCAGGTGGTGGCACATGCCTGTAGTACCAGCTACTTGGGAGACTGAGGTGGGAGGATGGCTTGAGCCTGGGAGGTCGAAGCTGCAATGAACTATGATCACACCACTGTACTCCAGCCTGAGCGACACAGCAAGGCTCTGTCTCAAAAATAAATGAAATAAAATAATAAAATGCTACTATTTGTATACATAACAGGAGTAGGCATATATCACTTACATGTGTATAAAAGATCACTAGAAAGATATACAAGAAATATTGGTGGTCTCTGGGGGGACATAGGAGTGGAAGGAAAAGTTATCACTGTATGCTGTTTTGATCTTTCAAAGTTTTAACCATGTAGGTGTTTTACCTATTCAAAAAATAGATGGTGCTCTTTAAATAAAAAAAAAAATTAGGCTGGAAGCAGTGGCTCATGCCTATAATCCTAGCACTTTAGGAGGTCGAGGCTGGAGAATCATCTGAGCCCAGGAGTTCGAGACCAACCTGGTCAGAACCAACTGGTGACATCAGATGTTTAAAAAAAAAAAAAAACAAAAACCGTGAAAGAAGACTAACCCGGGCAACATAGTGAGATTCCATCATTATAAAAAATTAAAAATTAGCTGGACATGATGATGTGTGCCTGTGGTCCCAGCTACTCAGGAGGCTGAAACAGGAGGCACACTTGAGCGCAGGAATTCGAGGCTGTAGTGAGCAATGTTCTCACCACTGCACTCCAGCCTGGGCAACAGAGCAAGACTCTGTATTTAAAAAAATATAGAAAATAAGAATTTAAAAATTGTAAAGGAGTAGCCTCATTGAAAAAGTTGACATGTATCAAAGATCGGAGGAAGTTAGACATTCAGAGACCTAGGGAAAGAATATTCCAGGAAGAAGCCAAGGGCCCTGAAGTGAGCAGCTGCCTGATCCATCAGAGAATGCGCAGGCAGCCACGCCATGTTCTGGGCAGAGTGCTCCGTGTGCACACATTGAAAGGCTCATGCTGGCTGCTGAATTGAAGACATACTACAGCTGAAAAAGGGCATAAAAAGGACCAATTCGGTGGCAATTACAGTAATGCAGGCAAGAAGTGATGGTAGCTCAGAGCAGGGGTGCAGTGGAAGTGGTGAGAAGTGGTCAGATTATGGATAAAACTTAAAGAAGAACCAAAGGGTTTCCTGACGGAGTAGACACTGGAAGGGGAGGGGTGAGAAAATGGTGTCAGCTTGATGGGGATGAGTACGAGACGAGCAGGTCTGATAGGTTCTGTCTGGAACATGTTGATTTTCAGATGGCTACTAGTTTAGGGCCAAGAAGAAGGAGATTTACCGACCTCCTGAACCAAACAACAACAAAGAAGACTAAAATACATGAAACAACGGTTTTTGAGACACTGGACATTGGACAAAAAAAGACAACGATGCCTGAGAGACTGGGCCCATTTTACTGCCTTGAGAGAGTTTCCAAGCTGAGTTGCTAGAAGGAGAAATCCAGGTAGGACTCAGTCAGCTCCCTGACTTGAGGAGACACAGGCCCAGATCCAGGAAACCAAGGCCCCTGGAGGTCACAGAACTGAGGATCAGGGAGGAGAAAGGTACACAGAGAGATGGCCAGAAGTCTGCAGAGGATCCCACAAGTATTTAACTGAGTACTGCTCAGCACTCACATGTGAGAAAACTACCTGGGGATGGGGAGAATCCCAATAACATCAGCAGAGGGAACGCCACCCGGCAATCACCAGGCCTGGGAACAGTGCCTGATGCCACCAGCCAGCCTGGAAACCGTCATGCCCCACAGGGCATTGGGAAGAGAATGCAGGAGGCTCTCGCCTCTGTTGTAGGGCCCAGGCTGACCAGGACCATGACCACCAAGGTAGGAGGAAAACCTGGGGAGCTCAGTGCTCAGAAGCCAAGGAAAGAAAGTGCATCGAGGTGGAGATAAAGACTGAGCATCCATCCTTGGATGGAGCAATGTCAGAGTCATTGGTGACCCAGAAAAGCACAGTATGGTGGAATGATAGGGGGAAAAGCCAGAGCCAAGTTGGAGAGAGAGCGGGAGAGTAGGAACTGGAAACAGGGTATAATCAATTATTTTAAGGAATTTGCTGCAAACGGAAGCAAATAAATAGGGAAAGCTGTTGGAGGAATTGTGGTCAAGAGAAGTCTGTCTTAAGTTTAGAGGAATTACAACATGTTAACATACAGATAGGAATTACACAATAGGGAGGGAAATGGTGATGGGGTGGGTGGAGATGGAATCGAGTTGGAAGCATGGATAAGTCACCAACGGATAAGTTAACACACATGCCAGCTGAGTGTAAGGGAACAGATGCCAGTATTCCAGTAGATGTGGTGGTGGTAGAAGCTCTCTGCTAGGTTTCATGTGTCTTGGTGAGGTAGAAAATAAGGTCATCAGCTGAGAATGAGGATGGAGAATTTCAGGGGTGTGAGAAGAGAGAAGAAATGAAATAGTCATCTGGGACAGTGGGATTGAGAATGGATTAGGGAATTTTGATTGCCTGGGAGCATGAAGGGTTCATTTGAGATTCATGGCCAACAGTTAAAAGGGAGACAGTTGTTCTTTTGTGAGACATTCTCACCTTTTTTGAGACAGTTGTGTGAGCTTGTGTGTTTTCCCCTAGCCACTAGCAGCCGTACCATTCAGGCACACAGGAAGCAGGGTTTTATTACGTCAAGTGAGCATATTGAAACCAAAGAAGAGCCAGATGTGGTGGCTCATCCCTACAATCCCATCACTTTGGGAGACCATGGAGAGAAGATTGCTTGAGGCCAAGAGTTCAAGACCAGCCTGGGCAACATAGCGAGACCCTGTCTCTACAAAAAAATTAAAAATTAGCCAGGTGTGGTAGTGCATGACTGTAGTCTCAGTGTCTCAGGAGGCTGAGGTGGGAGGACTCCTTAAACCCAGGAGTTTGGGGCTACAGTAAGCTGTCATTATGCCACTGTACTCCAGCGTGGGCAACAGAGTGCGACCCCGTCTAAAAGAAAGAGAGAGAGAGAGAGAGGAAGGAACAGAAGGAGGGAGGGAAGAAGGGAAGGGAAGGAAGGAAGGAAGGAAAATAACAGGCATGCAGGAAAAAAAAATCATATTTTCAGAGGATAGATGATGACAGTGAGGACAACACAGGACACCAAAACGGAGGCAAGCCACCAAGGACCGGGAAAAGAGACCTGAAAGGCTTAGGGCCACTTAAGGCAAACTCGAGACAACTTCGTAAATTGCTGGAAAAAAATTCTACATAAATTGTATCACAATTATGTGGCAGAGCAGGTAAAGTTCATCTAGGTCCAACCTAGGTGTTCAGTGTTTTCCAAAACCTCTCCTCGGGGGTCTCTGTCAAGCCTTTTGGGGTCAGCCCTGCCCCACACAACCGGCCTCTGCTTGGCCCTATGAGAAGGCCAAATTCTCCCTTTTAGGTCTTCTTCAGTCCTACTCAGATCTGACACACTCACCTGCAGTGGCCCCAGGATTCTTCTCTGCTGTCCTGACTTCTCCCCCAACTAGGTGCTCAGGTGCTTTTTTTGCTTTCATCCCTGCTTCCGTGCATTTTTATTCTGTGAATTTTTATTTCTGTGATTTTTTTTTTTTTGAGACAGAGGCTCGCTCTGTCACGCAGGCTGGAGTGCGGTGGCGTGATCTAGGCTCACTGCAACCTCTGCCTCCCAGGTTCAAATGATTCTTCTGCCTCAGCTTGCTGAATAGCTGGGACTACAGGTGCCCGCCATGACGCCCGGCTAATTTTGTATTTTTAGTAGAGACGGGGTTTCACCGTGTTAGCCAAGATGATCTCAATCTCCCGACCTCATGATCCGCCCGCCTCGGCCTCCCAAAGTGCTGGGATTATAGGCATGAGCCATAGCGCCCGGCCCTATTTCTGTGGATTTTTATTCTAGCCATCCTCTTTTATTTTTTCTGTTAAAAACCTTAAGTTCTTCTTGCTTTCTGTCTAAGAGAGATCAAGAAACATTTTCATTTTATCCATGAATAGGCAGATGCCCAGAAAAACCTGAGCATATTATGCCAAAAATATTTCACACTCAGTCCTTAAGCAATGAAGACAAAAGAAATGATTTGTTTCCACATTAAACCTAAAGGGAGATAGATACACAATGCAAACAGCCCATTTGGAGATGAGGCAGAACACAATGGTTACAATCAGAATGAGCTCCTTCCTGGCAGCTGCAGGTCTTCTGTGTTCTTTGTAGTCCCTTATAGAGGAAGAGAGATTTTTTTTAAAACAGATGCTTCCATTCAGGAAACTAGGTCCATCAGAGACTTTCCCTGTAGGTTTTGCTCTGGGGGGGGGGGGTTCCCCCGTTGTGGTTCCTGTTACCACAACTTCATCTCCCTCAATATGTCCAGTCTCTGCTTTTCTCTGGTTCAAGGGTGGACATACCCAAAATCAATTTCCTCTTAGGACAAATGAGAGAAGCTGGATCTTTCCAATGTGTCTTTTTATGATTGTAAGAGAAAATAAAAAAGGATGTGAGTACAAAACGTAGCAAGAGGGAAATCTTGGTAGTGATGGAATTGTTTCGTATCTTGACTGCAGAGGTGCTCACATGAGTCTCCAATGTAGTAAAATAACACAAAACTGCCCTTGCACATTGTACCAACATGAGTTTCCTGGTTTAGATATTGTACTGTAGTTACCTAAGATGTAGCCATTAGGGGAAATAGCGCCTCTCTGTACTAACTTTGCAACTTCTTGTGAATATGTCAAAAGAAAAAGGGTTTTGTTAAATCATTATTTTAAAAACCATGGCAGAGTTTGTGGATCTGATCAAGATTAAATAAAGCTGTGTTGTGTCCGTGTGTGTGTGTGTGTGTGTGTGTGTGTGTGTGTGTGTGTGTGTGAGACGGAATCTCACTCTGCTGCCCAGGCTGGAATGCAGTGGTGCCATCTCGGCTCACTGCAATACCAGGTTCAAGCGATTCTCCTGCCTCAGCCTCCCGAGTAGCTGGGATTACAAGCACCTGCCACCACACCTGGCTAATTTTTGTATTTTTAGTAGAGACAAGGTTTCACTGTGTTGGTCAGGCTGCTCTCAAACTCCTGACCTCATGTGATCCATCCTCCCTGGCCTCCCAAAGTGCTGGGATTACAGGTGTGAGTCACCACGCCTCACATCATATTTTCAATTTTTAAAATAATAACCAATATGCAGGAAAAAAGTCACATTTCCACTGAATATGTTTCTGATTCTAGCAGTCACTGTAAAGGAAACTTTAGAGTCCCAGGATCCCTTCTAGCCCCTTCTGGGCTGGTCCAGTTTCAAGTAGGTTCAAGCCCTCTTGACCACCGGACATTGTCTTTCCTCCCTGGCATGAGTTGCTGACCCACCAGTCCATTTTCTTCTGACCAAAGAAAAGTGACAATTCACCTTCTTCAAAAAGCTAACTCTTTTCCTGAGTTTCAGATGAAGCGGACATATGTTCCCAAGTAACTTGCAAGGTACTACGATGGATACCCTTTAAACACAATGAATGACTTTCTAGCCCCTCTAGGACCTGATGACAAGCTCTTCCCAGCTCTGAAGTCTCTGATCATGATTCATTTAGGTCTTCTCCCTGCCATTCACCCAGAGAAATGACCTTGCAGCACAGTCAACGATGCAAAGCCCATTCCCGTCATGCCGTACAAGGTGGCAGCAAAGAGGGAAATTCTTCACCAATACCTCAGCCCATCAGCAAGGGCAGAACCCAAATAGACTGGTGATTCTCCGAGAGGGATGAACTTCCTTTTTCTGTTACTTGTCAGATTCCAGGTTAATTTTTTGCTATTGCCCCAAGTATAAAAAAAGAAGAACAATATCCCTTTCACAGACCATGTTTCTAAATCTTAATATTCCTCCAATGCCTTTTTATCTCTAGAAGAATCCTCCTCTCACGGAAACACTCTCACCCAGGGCACACTGTCAACTCCATTGCTCCTGCAATGACAGGAAGGGTGAGGAGGTGGCTATGAGGCATACAGTTCAGGAGTGACACAGTGACTTTATGCTGCTTGGTTGACCATATAATCCTCCCAGGGACTCCCTGTTGTAATTCCCTTCAATTCTTCAGGCCCTTCAATTAGAGTTCCTCTGGTTACCTCATCACGTTTACCCTGCGGTCTAAGGTCAACTGTTGAATTTAGCCCTCTTGGTCTATGGAATATCAAAGTCCATTCTTGATGGGCCCAAACCAACCTTTTTTGGCTTCTAGTAAAAACTGCCCTCCTGAAAGCCACGTGTCACATCAAATAGGTCAGATTCCCCCTCAGCTCTTCCTCTCAGACCTCCGCTTTCCTAAGACGCCCTGTTAGGGCAACCGCTGTCCTAAGATAGTTGTCCTGTCCTCAGTTTTTAAAATGCTAAGTCTCTATTCTGTAGTCATTTCTCATCACTAATCATTCTTTTGGAAGAGGAATCTTTTCTTTTCCTTCCCCTAGAAAATAGAAGGGAGAGTTTTGGGGTCCATCCTTACCGAGATTTTCTGCTATGTCATCTTGGTACAGAGTTCAGTCTAATGAAAACATTGTCACAAATTGATTAAAACCACCAGGAAAGCAGACAAGAGCATGCTCAATTTCTTTAGTTTTTCTTTTTTGTTGTCATAATATTGCATGATACAATGAGTATTAGAGGAAAATTAACTTTCCGTTCACATATTGAAACAATTTCTACTTAAAGAAGATCTTAAACAGCCAACTCAAACTATTGTACATGGATTTCTGAATGAGGTGGGGTTTTTTTATTTTGCTTTGTTCCAGATAATGTCTCACTCTGGTTGCCCAGGCTGGAGTACAGTGGCATGATCACTGCAACCTTGACCTCCTGGGCTCAAGC